>NC_000001.11:55311410-55462925 GCF_000001405.40 Homo sapiens
GTCAAGCACATCTTTGGATCAAAAGTGACACAGATTTGTCCTGAAGTCCTGAATTTCCTCGGAGAAATAATAGATGATGAGCCTTTCACCATAAATGACTGCTGAGCTCTTTGAAATCCTTTTCACACTTCCCCACTCCTCCCTTCACTGTCACTGGTCCAAGCCACCGTCATCTCTTGGATTTCTTTCTAAGCTTCTTGAATTGACTTTTTCACTTTTTCAATCTCTGCTTCATACCACAACTAGACTTTGTTTTATAAATGTAAATCAGATTCCTTTTTTTTTTTTTTTTTTTTTGAGATGGAGTCTTGCTCTGTCGCCCAGGCTGTTGTACAGGGGCATGATCTTGGCTCACTGCAACCTCTGCCTCCTGGGTTCAAGTGATTCTCCTGCCTCAGCCCCCGAGTAGCTGGGATTACAGTTGCGTGCCACCACACCCGGCTAGTTTTTGTATTTTTAGTAGAGAAGGGTTTTCACCATGTTGGCCAGGCTGGTCTCGAACTCCTGACCTCAGGTTATCTGCCCACTTCGGCCTCCCAAAATGCTGGGATTATAGGCGTGAGCCGCTGTGCCCAGCTGCAAATCAGATTCTTACACTCCTGCATAAAACCCTGCAAAGGATCTCTTTTATCCTTGGAATGAAGTCTGGAGTCCTCACCCTGACCTACAAGGGCCTTTACGATCTGGTTCCTACCTACCCCCACCTCTCCAGCCTTTTCACGTCCATTTGTCCTGTCATTGCAGGCACATTAACTCTCTGTTTCCTACCAGGCCTCTGCCTGGATGGCTGTTCATCCTGTAAGTCCCCTCAGGGAAGTCATCTCTGACTCCGCACAGCTGGGCTTTGAGCCTATGCTCTGTCCCTCCCAGAAGCCCCTGCCCCTCTTGTTATAACGGGCCTCATGCTATTGCAATTGGCACATTGAATAGGTTGGTCTTGGTGAGATATAAGCATGAAACAATTTTATTTTTTCTTGAATCATTACCTTCACATGTGCTCAATGGAATACACCTTTACGGCAGATCTGAGCATTTTCTGGCCAGTTAGTCCTTTAAAACTACAATCTCATTTCCAATTTGGGATTTATCTTTCTCCCTGGTCCAGGCAGGTCCTTTTGGCATCTGGATCTTTCCAGGGTCATGAAACCCATGGGTGGAATAGGGCATAAACATCTATTATGTGCTAAGTACTATATTTTAAACAAATGAGTGGATGAAGGGCATGGGACTTTGGAATTAATCCCAGTTTGGGGATTAGGATTAGTTATTTCTCAGGATCTTGGGCAAGTTATTTGCCTTCTCTCAGCCTCAATTTCTTTATCTCTAATGTGGGGTTAATAATCTCCACTTGGCAGTTTGGGCTAAAGAGTAAATGTAAAATAAAATGATAACTACAAACTTCTTAGCATAGCACTGACTGGTGCTCCATAGATGCCAATTCCTCTTCCTTATCTGTGACCATGGGGATGGTAATCCACTCCCCCCATAGGGCTGTGCTTACAACTTCGTGGGAAAACATGGAAATGAGGGCTTACTAATTGTCATTTTATTTTTTCAGGATTCCCGTTATGGTGTCTTCTAATGCCTCTAACTTTGCATTGTGCAAATCAAACTCTCTAAAAAATATAGGCCAAATGGATTGAAGTGGGAGAAACCCCCCTCCTCCTCTGTTGGGTCACACAGCTAGCCTGTGTGAGGAGGGGTCTTGCTCAAGTTAAGCTGGCTATCCCTGCCCTCCTCATACCCCCTCATTATACCCTGCTGGGAATGTGAACTCACTGAGCAAGCTGTCCCTGGCTAGCCACAGAGCCTGCACCTTGCTGGGTGCGCATCTGATGCCCCAGCAGCTTTTGAAAGTGCCTCATCTGGGGAGTGAGTACCTCTCCAGGTCTGGGAGCAGGGAATTAACTGTTCGAGGCTTTTAGGTCCATAAGCAGGTGGTACAGAGGTAGGTGGTTGGGACAGGTGCCAAAAACGATTGGAAGAATGTGGGGAAAGCATTTCGTTGAGGAAGCAGAAACGTGTGCACATGTGCACATGCGTGAGTGCATGTGTGCATGTGTGTTTGTGTAGGTGTAGGGTACTGGCGGTAGCTGCCACACCTCAGTTCCAATTTCCCTTCAATCAAATTCCACTCAGCACCCTCTCCCTAAGTCGCTGCTTTGTGCTGGGCTCTGTACTGGGCGATGGAGGCAGATACATGAGATAAGACTGCATCCCTGAACTCAGGGAGCTCAGAGTCTCACCAAGGACAGAGATACTCCCAGTTTAAATTTTGAATAATGTAATGTGTATTTTTCTAGGATATGAAAGAGAGGTGGGAGCAATTTTTCTCTTGCCTGAATTAGATGTCAAAGATGCCATAGGCTTTTAGAGCTTGAAGGAAATTTAACAGGACTCAGGCCACCCATATATTGTGTGAGTGGGAAAATAGAGGCCCAGAGAGGGGAAGGAAGGAAGCCGTCCGAAGTCACCCTGTCATTTGTTGGTAGGAACATGGGCACGGCACACTTTGCAGATTCCTCCCTCCTTTTGCTAGCCAGTCTTTACTCCTCCTTCCACTTAAATGACATTGTGTTGGAGAAGTCCTTCTTTGTTATCCCTCACCCCTAGCTAGGGCAAGGCCTCGCTTGTAAACTCACTTGCCCTTTAAGCTTCCTGTTGGATAATACTCATTACATCTGTAATTACTCATTCAACCTTCTCTCTCCAATTAGATTGTGAGTCCCAGGAGGGTAGGAGCCACGTCTGTCTTGTTCACTGCTCTATCTCCAGCACAGTAGGTGCTCAGTAAGTATTTGTTGAAGGATTAAATGCTTCATGACCCTGATGTCTGTCGTCTGAGTGCGTTGGGGTTTTCACCTGGCTCTTTTTTTCTGAGCATTACTAGAAAGGATTGCATGGGAAGTGAGGAAGAAGGAAATAGGAAATTATGTGTTCAGAGTCCCCTCTGTGCCTGCCACTGGGCGGGTAACATTTCCAAGTGTATTAGTCCGTTTTCATACTTCTATAAAGAACTGCCGGAGACTGGGTTATTTATAAAGGAAAGAGGTTTAATTGACTCACAGTTCAGCATGGCTGGGGAGGCCTCAGGACACTTACAATCATGGCGGAAGGCAAAGGGGAAGCAAGGCACCTTCTTCACAAGGAGAAGTGCTGAGTGAAGGTGGAAGAGCCCCTTATAAAACCATCAGGTCTTGGGAGAACTCACTCACTATCATGAGAACACCATGGGGGAAACTGCCCCCTCGGTTCAATTACCTCCACCTGGTCTCTCCCTTGACCCATGGGGACTATGGGGATTACATTTCAAGATGAGATTTGGGTGGGGACACAAATCCTACCATATCACGAGGTGATCTCACTAGATCCTCTAGAAGCCTGAGTGCCTTGCAGGGCTAGAGAAGGGAACAGAGTCAGGAAATGGGCAATAGGGTGACAATGACACTCAGAGGCAGCCAGAGCCTTTCCAGGTGAGCTAGTCATTCAAAGTTCAGTGGGCCTTATGTCATCAAAACCAGCATGGGGAGGGCATGGCTGGGTGTTGTTGGTGATGGCTCAAGCACAGGCACATCTCGTCAGTCCTGTTTGCTGGCTCTTCTGCTGCATGCCAAGTCTTCATTAAGCCAGTCAAGGGGGCAGCGGCTGTTGCCAGTGGCCTCTAACAGTTCCCTGCTGGATATTCATTTGCTGTCCGGTATACCCAAACTTCCTGGAAGCTGAGTGGTGCCTTATTCCTCGCTTTTTAGCTGTGTGATCTCTGGGCTTCAAATGCCTCATCTGTAAAATGTGAAATAAAAGAGTACTTAGCTAATAGGCATCCTTTGAGGATTTAATGTCTTCAAACAAGCCAAATGCTTAGATAATGATATTAATACCTAATAAGGCCCCGTTCTCTCCCTAACATCTAGAACCAGTGTCTGGCATTGAATAGGTAATGGTACGAGTTTGCTAGGGCTGCTGTAATCAAGTCCTGTAGACTGGGTGGCTTAAACGTCAGAAATTTATCTCTGCCCAGTTCCGGAGGCTGGAAGTCCAAGATCAAGATGTTAATAAGGTTGATTCCTTCTGAGGCCTTTCTCCTTGGCTTGTAGGTGGCTAATCTTCTCCCTGTGTCTTCACATTTTCTGTATGTGTATGTTCTCTAATTCCCCCTTTCTTATAAGGTCATTGGTTGTATTGGATTAGGGTCCATGCTGATGACCTTATTTTAATTTAATTACCTCTATAAAGACTCTATCTCCAAAACTTGAGGCTATTTAGGCATGCATTCTCTGTTGCAATTGCACACCTCTGCTGTTGTAGTGCAAAAGCAGCCATCAACAGCATGTCAATGAATGAACATTGCTGTGTTCCAATAAAACTTTATTTATAAAACAGGCCATGGGCCAGTTTGCTCACCCCTGGCCCTCTGGGCCTCAGTTTCCTCATCCACAAATGGAGATAATAATAATTTCTTCCCTGAATTGTTGTCCCCAGTAAATACGATAGTTAACAGTCCTTAGCTACATTTTACTTAGCTCTTAATTTATGCCAGGCCCTGTGATATTTTTATAACATTATAAAGGAAACACTCTTATACAAGAGTCCTGGATTAGGAATCAGGAGATTTGAGTCTATGATGGCATGTTTCTCACTATTTATGTAGTCAGGGGCAAGTGATTTCCCTTCTGAACTGAGTATCTTCATCTGTAAGGCAGGGACCATAGTGACTAGCTCAAGGGCAATAGGTGGGAACATGCCAGGGCAACAAAAACCCACTCTTTTTTTTTTTTTTTTTGAGACGGAGGCTTGCTTTGTCGCCAGGCTGGAGTGCAGTGGTGTGATCTCGGCTCACTGCAACCTCTGCCTCCTGGGTTCAAGTGATTCTTGTGCCTCAGCCTCCTGAGTAGCTGGGATTACAGGCATGCGCCACCATACCCAGCTAATTTTTGCATTTTTAGAAGAGATGGGGTTTCACCATGTTGGCCAGGATGGTCTCGATCTCCTGACCTCAGGTTATCTGCCCACCTTGGCCTCCCAAAGTGCTGGAATTACAGGCGTGAGCCACTGCACCTGGCCACAAGCCCACTCTTACTGGTCCCTATAACCCACAAGGAAGAGAAAGGAAGCTACCCCATCGCTTGATGTTAGGTAAGTGTGGGAAGGCTTTTATTCAAGCTGCTAGATGGTTCCTGACCGATTAAGTTGACCCCAGTTGCCCCTTTTATCTGATACCCTGAACCCTCTTCTTGACCTCCTTCTCTACTTAGGCTCTCACCAAAGCATGACTGCTGTGGAACTCAGACTCTCCCAGAGATTAGAAAGGAAACTTGCATAGGAAGTGCTTTAACTGGCCAAGGCGGAAGCATTTTTTTTTTCAGAGCTCTCCAAACTAGACAGTCCAAGGCCCCGAGGAGAAATTTTCTTTTGGTGGGGCTGAGTTGGGGCTTGGATGGGGGTAGGAGGCCATGCAGAGGTTTTGCATAGCAATGCTTCTCACAGTGCTGGCTGTGAGACGGGAGATAGACCTGGTCTGGTTTTAAGCAGATACCCTTTTCAGAGCTGTAATTTTTCCAGTGCCTTGCAGAACTTAAACATTTGCTGAGATAGTTTTAAACCCTATTCTTTCTTCTCTTTCTCTGTGCATGCATGTGTGTGCATGTGTGTGTGTGTGTGTGGGCATGTGCACACAAAGTCATGGAGGCCGTTGAAAGACTTTCTACTTTCTTAGCTTGCTTAGAGGACGTGAAGTGGGGAAGCGAACATACTTGCTGTCTCTCCAGCACTTCCTGTGTGGCACTCTGCTAGGTGGTTTGTACACATGATTTCTTTTAATAATGAGATAGACATTACCTTTCACAATTTAAAGATGAGGAAACGAGTCTCAGAGAGGCTAAGCTCCCTCCCAAGACCACATAGCTAGGAATGGAGGGAAGGAGCACCAAACCCTGATGGACCTGGGTGTGAGAGTACATTGAGAAGGTCTCCTTGATGGGAAACCTCACTCCATCCTTCCTACTACTTAGCTCTGAGCCCCTGGTTAGGCGTAGGCTCTCTGCAGGTGAAAGATAGAGCTGCAGCTACCTTTTGCCTCATGTGTTTATATACCTCCACTCACTCCTGCATGGGGGATGTCCTTCCCACTGGGACTCCAGCTGCACAGAAATGCTTCCTGCTGGGTCTGGCTTTGGGTTCAGAAAGTCTCTCTTATACCCTCCCTCTGCACGTGGCCATTTCAACGGTGATACAGCAGCTCTCACTTATTGAGCTGCTACTCTATGCAGGCACTGGGCTAAGTGATTTTCATATTTTAATTCTCACCTAACCTTATGAATTAAGTAGGACTTGATATTTGCATGTTACAGATCAGAAAACTTAGAGAGTTTAAATAATGCACCACACAGCTAGCAGGTTGCAGAGCTGCGTAGTACCTCTAGGTCTGTCCAGGTTTAAAGTCCATGCTCTGAACCTCTCTGCTTCATTGTCCTACTTATCACATGGTATGACACATTTCCATTTATGGGTCTGAGTCTCCTCTAGAATGAGACTCCCTGAGAGCGGGGCCCTAGGTGGTGGAGAGATGCTGGATTAGGGCCAGAAAGAACTGGTTGGGACCACGATTTTGACATTGAATGACTGTGTGTCCTTGGCACTTTATCTTTCCAAAGCTCTGTTTTTTTTTAAAAAATTTTTGAAGTTGGGGTAATCATGTCCTGTATGGTGATATGATTATGGTAATACCATTCATGACAATATCAAAATGCCCAGTACATGTGCCACCAATGTTGGATGATCGAACAAATTCAAGCTCAGCCTTCCTGCAAGGCCGACTCTGCTGATACCCTGGGTGCGCCTTCAGACTTGCAGTCCTGGGTTAGAGAGCGGCTATTTCTGCTTTCACTTCCTTACACCGACAAAAGCTACTTGATAGGGATGCCTATCTGGTGCTGCAGGAGATGGCAAGAGTCCAGAATATTCTCCCCACACAAAGAAATCCATCCTTATTAGGTTTCATATGACTCTCTAGCTTCCCGCTTCCCTTTCCTCTCCTTGACTAAAATAAACCTTGCACATCAAAATCTTACTCTGCATCCCCTAAAGGGACAAGTGCCTTCTCTGGAATCCCTTGGAGTCTTGAAATGCAAAGGCTAACTCAGTCTCTAGGGAGAGGGACTATTTTGAATTTCTCAAGAAACTAATTCAAGAAGTGTGCCCTCCCACTACCCCCTACTCCCCAATTTCTCACAGTTGCAAGGACAATTCTGTGTGACAATTGGGACTGAAACATCAGATAGAAACTCAGGCCAGGCTGGGAGGATGCTGTAAATGCAGCCTCCCAGTCTGGCCTGAGTTTTGCTACTCCCTGCCCATCCCAGCTCCACCCTGGGTTCAGGACACAGAATGGGGGCTGAGGAGACACCCTTGGGATGGATAGGAGAGGTACGCTGGAAGGGGCATGGGTTTTGAATTGCGAGAAGAAAAAATTGGGCCTGAATCTCCGTGCTTTACTTTCCGACCATGTGACTTTGGGTTTATCCTCAAATTTCTCTGTGCCCCAGCTTCTTTGTATGTAAGCAGGGATAGTGTTGACTAATTTGCAGATGGGTGTTACATGACATGTTATCTGAAAATTATCCTGCTTGGAGTCTGACACTGAAAAATCACTTCTATTTATCAAACACCTATTATCATAGATGGATCTAGCTGAGTCCAACAGAGCCTGAGAACATAATCAGGACTGCTGAGCCACTGGCTCCTGGTTCCTGATGTGTTTGTGGGGTAAGGGAGCTGCTGTGGAGGTTTTATTCATGGGAGATGAGATGAGGGAGGAAGAGAGCGTGGGAGGGAGAAGTTGATGAAAACTGCTAAAGATGCTAAAGATGTGTTTTTTACAAAGCCCTTGGTGAAATTTGGGTTCTAAGTAGGGCTTTTTTGGAGCTCAGCCGACCAGGTAAAATACAGCTCTGGGGGTGAAGGCCCCTTCCCCAGTTATCCATGGAATACGGAATGACCGGAGGGCTGCAGTGAGGACTGAACAGAGTTTAGTGAGTTTGGTGTGTGATGCCCAGGGAGCTGTGGGAGGGAAGCGCTGTTCTCACAATGGGGATGGCAGCCGGGAGGAGCCCTCCTCGAGAAGCCTGTAAGCTGAGGATATCACTGAGGGTAGCACAGAACCTAGTGTTTGTGAGATGTCTCAGAAAAACCAGGCGAGACTTTGAGGAAGGCCAAATTCCTTCATCAGCATGTGAGGGCTCTGAACCAGTAACATCTGAATTATTAATGTGACCTCATTTGTGCCGCCAGCCTGCTGGGGTCTGGGGATATTATTTTAGCTGAGGGTACCAGGGGATGTAATAGTATTGGTCTTGATTCTGGAAACTTTGGGGGTGGGGGATGGCATCTGGATCAGCTGCAATGGGCTTGGGGCAAACCAGCATCTGGCAGTGGAGTGAGCTTCCAGGAGGAACATGGGTTGCACTTTGCTAGTGGTTCAGGCTAGGGTGGAAAGGAGGGAGCAGGGGAAGGAAGACAGCCCCCAGGCCCTCTGGGAGCAGGAGTGAGAGTCAGGGGCTCCAGCTGATGGGCTATGGACGGTAACTAATAATTGGTGAGAAGCATGATAGCATGTCTAGAAGCACTGTGGCCTACTGGTTAATTGCATGAGTTGGAACCACACTACCAAGGTTCAAAGGACAAGGAACAACTCTACAGTTCCCGACTCTGTCACCCTAGCTTGGCTGGCCACTTATAAGCATGCTAAGTAGGCTTAGCATGTCAACTTTTATGATGTATCTCACCTATTATTTTGTGCGCTGATGGTTATACATTCAAGGTAGGTGGAGTCTGATCCTACAGTCGGGCCTTCAATGAATGTGATGGGCAAAAGAGGGTGAAGAAACCAGGCTGCAGATAACAAAGTCTGGTCTTCCAAAAGCCTCCTGGGAAGCAAACAACAACAACAGACATTACAAATATTTTTGAGAAGGGGATATATCCATATTGGAAACATTCAACCAGTATAGAAAGGTATAGAGTGAAAACGACATTTCCGTCTGACCCTAGAAACTTATCTAGTCCTTCTTCTCAGGAGACTAGTTTCCTGAAATAGTCCATGCATATACAAGTGTATGTGAATGTGTATGTGTATAATATACATACTATCATGCAACTCAAATTAATTCTGTTTGTTATTTATTAAGTTCTTATGATTTCCCAAGAACAAGGCTAGTACCTTCACATATGCTATCTCATTTAGTTCTATAACAACCTTGTGCGGTATCTGTTACTTTGACGATTATGCAAGTCAAAGGAAATGGAGGCTTGGTGACAGGAGCCGCATAATTTGCCCATGGCCACAGAATTTGAGAGCACAGGAGCTGGGAATCAAATCAGGTCTGACTGGCCTTACAGGGGGTACACTCCCCACTACTTCATGCTGCCTCTTAAATGCTTATTGGAAAAATGTTTTCTGTGAATTTTCTAATTTGACCTTGGAAGGTCTATTGTGGTCTCTCAATGCTGAAAGGTATTGTTAGAGACTGGAGAGACAATCTGGGACAGAGTGAATTTATTGGGGGCTCTTGGCTCCTCCATGTATCCATGGACCATGTATCCATAGCTGTGCATTTATTACCATCTGCTGTAGAAGTTGTGCTGGCTCCCATGGAACGTGACTGGACTTGCTCGTAGCTCCAGCCTCTCTAAGCTGAGTGTGTGTGTTTGTGTGTGTGTGTGTGAGTGTATGTTGGAAGTTTGGCTTAGGCCTGAGAAGCAGCCTGTTGTAGGTTTGCCATCAGTAAAGACCAAAGGGGACAGTGGAAGGAAATTTTGATTGCTTGTTCAGACTTTG
The DNA here is from genome assembly GCF_000001405.40 of Homo sapiens. Lineage (NCBI taxonomy): Eukaryota > Metazoa > Chordata > Mammalia > Primates > Hominidae > Homo > Homo sapiens. The sequence goes on from NC_000001.11 coordinate 55,321,243, forward strand.
CCCAACCTCCTTTCCTTTTTGATTTTACCAGTTTTTATAAAAACTCAAAGAAGAGCCTGTCCCAGTGAAAGGAGTCACCTCTCATTTTGTAAAGCTCTAAAACATGACAATATTACTGACTTTGCTCTGTTATTGTGAGGACCGAAGATAATAGTACATGTTTGTGCTTCTCCAACTCAGAGTAGTTGTAACTTTGATTCCACGGTTACACTTGTCAACCTCCAGAGAAGGCACAGGATGGATAATGATGTTCTAAACTATGAATGCACAGTGAATTTGAAGATATCATTGATTTTATTAATTCAAAGAGAGCATAAGGACATTATGGAGGAAATATATCACAGTGGTTAAGGAAACAGCTTCTGGAGCCAGACTGTCTAGGTCCAAATTCTGGCTCTGATACTTGCTGGTTTGGCACTTTATCTTTCAGGTAAGTTACTTGAACTTTAGGTAAGTTACTTAAGCTCTTTGCGCCTCAGTTTTCTCACCTGCAGAATGGATGGAATAATAGCACCAGTTTCATAGGCATGCTATGAAGATTAAATAATTAATACATGTAAAAAGCTTAGAATAGCATCTGTTTTAGGTACTCAATAAATGTTAGCAAGTACTACTATATGGAACAGAGTACAAAAAATCATATTCACTTAAAAGATAAAACAGAACACTGCAACGAATTTTTATACTTCCTGCAGTCTGCCCTGGGCTGTATTTTTGCAATAGACTGAATTTGGATGTTCATTCTGTGCAGCAAGGGACACTTTTCTGGAAAATTTGGCACATAGTTAGTATAAAATACATTACAGCTGTCATCATCAACATTGTTAGTATCATCCAAAGGCGTATAATGTCTGTGAAATTTGAGAGGCTGTTTATTTATTTTAATGAATCAGCATTGTTAGCTGAGGGAAACTTTCAGCTTCGCCTGGAACAGGGTCTTTAGAGGTTGTTTGTAAAGCCTAGGAAAAAATCAAGGGACCATAGCTAATTGCAGCCTCTGACTCCTGGGCTCAAGTGATCCTCTTGCCTCAGCCTCCTAAGTAGCTGGGACCACAGGCCCCTGCCCCTACACTTGGCTAATTTTTATTTTTATTTTTTGTAGAGATAAGATATTGCTATGTTGTCGAGGCAGGTCTGGAATTCCTGGGCTCAAATGATCCTCCCACCTCATCCTCCTAAAGTGTTGGGATTACAAGCAAGAGCCACCATACCCAGCTGATAAATAAATTGTGTATGATAAAATTCTTCTGTGGCCTTCATTCCATTTCTACAACCATCAGCATTTTGCCACACTTGTTTCATCCATCAACTAGCTTCCCCAGCTTTTATTTTCTTGTAATATTTTAAAGCAAATTGTAGCCATCACGTCATTATGCCCTAAATATTTAAGTCTACTTTTAAAAAACTGAAGGGTTTTAACCTAAGCATAGTATCATTGTCACATTTAACAAAATTAACAATTTATTGATGTCATCTAATACCAAGTTTCCTTTATTGCCTAAAAAGTCTTTTTACAGTTGGTCTGTTGGAATGAGGATTCCAACAAGGCCCACAATGTTCACACTAATTCTTATACATAACATATAGTTGAGAAGCTCTAAGCCCAATTAGGAGAAAAAAAGGAAAGGACAATTATAATTGCAGCCAATCATAATGGCTTAATGGAGGTAATGTTTTGAAAACTATTAATGTGCTTTTCTATTTTGCTTCCTTCCTTTCTTGACCTTTGCTCTAGGTGTCTTGAGGCATCCATCATCCTGGAAGAAGACTATGATTTATAACAGAAGGAATGCAAAAAGAAAGAACAAGTTAATATTTCTCTTTTGGCATGTCAAATAGAATTATTCAGCAAGACAATAACCTTGCAAGCCAGGCGTTGTCTTGAAAAACCATTTCCAAATTTCTTTAATCCTTCCCTTTGGCTTTTCAACAATGCAGCCTGATTGAACCAGTTTATGGAGTTCTCCCTAAGTGCAGAGAAAATACCCATATCCTTTATTAGGGTATCTCTAAGAAACTGAAGTATGGAGGGCATGATGCAGGGGAAATCTGTCATTTTGGGGCCCTTTGTGATAGAGAGAAAGAGAGAGAAAGAGGAAGAAGAAGATGAGAGAATCAGTTTTGATCATGTATTCTCCCAGCTTTGGCCCAGAAAATAGGGAGGCCTATTGGATGAGTGGGGATATCACCAAGGGCAGAGGAAGCTTTTGTCCTTCTTCCTGCTTGAGACTCTGCAGAATAGACTGTCATCCTGGGGTGTGACCACATCCACATGGCAGTGTGGTATGACCTGGCAGAGGGAGTCCTTGACACTTAGTTTTCCTGAGCCATTCTTATTTCCAGTGAGGCACAGATGGACCCAGAAAATGGTGGGAGTTTGGCTGGGGAGTATTACCAATGGGAGTCACCATGGCTGGGCAAGGTCAAGGTACTCCGTAGCAAGGGCTGCCCAGTGGACCACCTGGGCCAGGCCAATTGGAGTCACAGCAAATGGGAAGGAGTCTAGACCCAATAGATGAGTCCAAAAAGCTGCAGAGAGCGAGAGCTAGCAAGGCAGTCCCCTGGGCTCTGATCTGCTGAGGAAAACCTAGGCTGTAAGTTACTCTTGTACAGACACAGACTTCAGCTGTGAATCCCAGTAGGGTAAGATGCACGCAGGTGGATCAGGGACTTCCACCTAACCCTGCCTAGAAGAGTAAGAGGAATCTGACCTTTTGCCTGCCGCGAAGGTGTTCAAGCTCCACCTGTCCCTCTTCATATGCAGATGTCATCTTGGAGGGGAGCTAGAAGACTGATGTGTTTGAGAAACTAAGCCTTTATTTCCCCTCAGAGGGGACCATTCTTTGAAGGGACCATTTAAATTATCGTGTAATACGAAGGTTCAAACTTTATTAGATATTAAAACAATCAGTTTGTCCTTTTGAATGGCTTTTGGCTATTTCCAAAATTCAAATCCGTTAGAAGACAAAGATTAGACATACTGAAATGCTTCTAAAAATATTCTAACTGGTGAATATATGAGAAAAGAATTAACCTCATTAATTATCCACTCGAATGTAAACTAAAACACTATTCTATACTTCCTTCTTTGAAATTCATAAACGTTGGAAAAAAATACAGAAAATCTACTAGTTAGTAGGAAAAAAGTTGTAGACAGAACAAAGGGGCCACATGCTCTTGGTCAATCTGAGTTTTGATGGAAGTTAAATGTTGCTGCCCTGGCATAACACTAACATTTATTAAGCACTTTGTCTGTGCCTGGTGCTGTTTTAAGAAATTTAGGTGCATTATTTCACTAAACCTTGTCAATAGCCTTATGAAATATATGCTATCATGGCCTCTTTTTATCAATGGGGAAACTGAGCCACAGAAAAAATAAATACCTTGTACAATTAGAAAATGGCAATTTGCTGGGTGCGAGGGCTCACGCCTGTAATCCTAGCACTTTGGGAGGCTGAGGGAGGAGTTCAAGACTAGCCTGGCCAACATGGTGAAACCCCATCTCTACTAAAATACAAAAATTAGCTGGGCGTTATGGCGGGTGCCTGTAATCCCAGCGACTCGGGAGGCTGAGACGGGAGAATCACTTGAACCTGGGAGACGGTGGTCGCAGTGAGCCAAGATTGCACCACTGCACTCCAGCCTGGGCAGCTGAGCAAGACTCCATCTCAAAGAAAAAAAGAAAAAAATGGCAAACTTAGGATTTGAGTCCAGGAAGTCTGATGTGAGGGCCACTGGCCTTAACCTCTGCCCTCTGCTTGCCCACAGGTTGGGACACACTGAAACCCTTCTTCCTATGTGACAAACATCAGGTCCTTACCACTGACTAGGGGGTGGGTGGGGAATTCTAAACTATTTCTTCTTGTCTCTATTTCAGTTTTAAGCCTCTGTAACCTTAATGCTTGTCGACAGATCTGTTTGTTTTGAGGATTGATATGATATTTCCGAAAACAACTAGCAAAGATATAGCTGCTTAATCATCATTGCTTCTAGAACCCAAATCTTGCTTAATTAGACAAATTAACACACTCTATTCTTTGAAAATATCTAGGGAAGAACTTGCCACTTGCTTCCTGCCTTTGCAAGTGGAATTTGCTGTCGAGGCTTCTCTGAATAGCATCACTGTCAGGCCCTGGATCATTTATATCACCTTATCAGGGGCTGAGAGACTTTAGGGAATCTTCCAGCCAAGCCCAAGAGATTGGCTCTTGGGCTCCAGTGATTGATCCACCACAAGAAGAGCATGCTCTTGGGTAGCTGCTGCCCCTTCAGCCTGGGCCCTGGAATAAAAATATGTGGAGCAGACTTGACCACAGTTTGCCGCTACACTTAGCTGTCCAGCAGGCTGAAGTGGAGCTTCCCAGCCAAGCCTAGCCTGAATTGACTGAACCATCATTGATTTGCAGATCTGTAATTGTGAGAATAAATTCTTGTTGTCAAAAGCTATTGAGTTTTGGGGTGTTTGTTATGCAGCATTATGGAAACAAAAGCTGCCAAATACAGTGGGTTGTGTTCTAAAGTCCACATGCAGGTTTAAAATGTGAATGATGGGACCTACACCCTGCTGCATCTGGAAACATAAAAGAGTATAACTTTAGGAAAGCAACATGAAGCTATATCTACAAGAAGAGCTTTATTTTCCAACTTAGAAAATAACCAGGGACTGGGCGTGGTGGCTCATGCCTGTAATCCTAACACTTTGGGAGGCCGAGGCAGGAGGATCACTTGAGGTTAGGAGTTCAAAACCAGTCTCGCCAACATGGCAGAACCTCATCTCTACTAAAAATACAAAAAAATTAGCCAGGCGTGGTGGCAGGTACCTATAACCCAGCTACTTGGGAGGCTGAGGCAGGAGAATTGCTTGAATTCGGGAGCTGGAGGTTGTGGTGAGCTGAGATCTCACCACTGCACTCCAGCCTCGGCAACATAGCGAGACTCTGTCTCAAAAAAAAAAAAAAAAAAAAAAGCACAAGAAAGAAAGCCCCACAAACCAGGAATATGGAATGGATAACAGTTCATCACAGTGTTATTCCTAATAGTAAAAATTGGAAACCATCTTGAAGAATAACGTTAGAATTATGATCAAGTAAACAATAGCCATATAATGGATTACTACATAGTCTGTCAGGACTAGGCTTAGCTAAGAAATACCTAAAATAGTGATTTAAGCCAGATTGAAACTTATTTCTCTGAATAAGTGAAGTCTAGAGGGAGGCAGTCCACACCTGGTGAGATGGCTCAATAGTCAGCCTCTTTCCAGCTTTCCACTCCCCATCCTTAGAGTGAGGCTCAGTCTTCGTGGCTCAGGATGGGTGCTGGAGAACCAGCCATCCATCACATCCACATTTCAAGCAACAGGATGATGTATGTATGCTGTCACTTTAAGGAGACATCTTAGAATTCCTCATACAACACTTTGTTTATATTTCAGTGGTAAAACATAACCACAACAGTGTTCCCAACTAAACATTTGGGTACCGTAACCATGGAAGAAAAGGAGAATACACATTGGGAGGCACACATACGCCTACTCATTAAATTTATAACCACGAAGACCTCCAGGGTGTTCCGCCTTACAATTTACCTTGGTGTCTGATAGCTACTGGACCCTTTGCCTCCGTTATAAAATAACTACATTCCCAGAGTTTGTTGGAACAAAGAATGCCCGAGTATTTCCCATGGATTGAGCGTGGGCCACGTGTGAGAGGGAGCTAGTGTGAGAGGTAGAGGGAGAAACAGACTCTGTAGAAAGAGGCGAGAGGCGAGTGTTTGGGTTCCTTGGGGCTGCAGGAGCAGCGCGTCAAAGGAACTGCAGGTGTGGGGCTTAGAGCTCACAGACTGAGCTTTAAACACAGCTGAGCTGAGAGTGTGATAAAGCTGTCTTATGACAGTACCAGTCCATTAAGAACTTACCTGCCTGTCTCATTTTACCTCTCTTTCCTCTCTCCCCATCCCTGGGGAGCGAGGAGGCACAGTTAGTAAGAAGGGTGAGGAAGTGTGGAAGTATCAGGTGGAGAAGGAGGGAAGAAGGATCATACCTTTCCTCAACCTACTCCCCTGCAAAGAAAGCTTCTGGCTTGCAGCAGTCCCCTAGCTATGGGGAGGGGAAGTAGCTGACCCTTTGAATGAAAATTGGAGCTCTGATTATTCCATGGGACTTTTAATACTTGAATTGAGACTACATCTTTGATTTAAAAAGAAGGCAGGGCTTTTTTTTTTTTTTAAATCACATACGTGTGAACGGAAGATTCATGAGAACTGTCATAATTTTCATCTAGAGGCAGAGGAGGAACAATTTTTCCCGATGTATTTTAAAGGCTATTATGAGACAAAAATAAAAGCACCACATCCTATGAGTCCTATTTGTTCACCATGTCAGTTACATATAGGGCAATACTTACGTAATAATGTTAGCCAAAAAGGCAATGTGCAGATTTATATAATATGACCCAACTATGTGAAAACACTGAGAGAGAGAGACAGGGAGTGAGGGAGAGAGAAAGAGAGAGGTGGGGGAGGTGGGGAGAGAGAGAGAGGGAGAAAAAGGAGAGAGAAGATAAAGGAGGTATGATAGGAAATAGCAAAATGTTCAAAGCATTGTTGTCTGCCCTGGGATGGAAGGCCGAGGGGCAATCTTGTCCTGTGAGCTCCCCAGCCATTCATTATTCCATGGCCTGTTGGCTTCCATCTCTGTATCATAACACTTTTTAAAAAAAAATTTTCACTGGGCGCAGTGGCTCACGCCTGTAATCTCAGCACTTTGGGAGGCGGAGGCGGATGGATCACGAGGTCAGGAGTTCAAGACCAGCCTGGCCAACATGGTGAAACCCTGTCTCTATGAAAAATACAAAAATTACCTGGGCATGGTGACAGGCACCTGTAATCCCAGCTACTCAGGAAGCTGAGGCAGGAGAATCGCTTGAACTCGGGAGGCTGAGGCTGCAGTGAGCCAAGATTGCGCCACTTCACTCCAGCCTGGGCGACAGAGCGAGACTCTGTCTCAAAAAAAAAAAAAAAAAGTTTGAGATTGTTGGTTTATTGGTTTATGTGTCTCTGATTAGACAGTAAACTACTTCAAAGGAAACATGGCTTCATTCAGCTTTCTCTCTACAGGGCCCAGAACAGAGCTTAGAACAGTTAGTGTAGAATAAAGGTTAAACACTTATTTAAAAAGACGGAACATTATTAAAGCAAAACCAAACCAAAACAAACAAAAACAATAGGCAAAGCTGAGGTCAAAAGCTTTAGCTGAGTCCCCCAAATGTTGGAATCATTCTCCCATCTCTACTCCCAGACGATTTGCTTACCTTCCCAAAATGCCACTAGCCCTGCATTAATGATCTGTGTGCTCATATTAGTTATCTGTAAACAACTTGAGGATTGGACCCATATAATAACAATAATAGTATTTATTTGACACCTATTACCTGCTGGGCAGGGTGCCAAGGCAATGCTGCCCACACTCTAATACATACCTGGGGACTTGTTAAAAAGCAGATTCTGATTCAGTAGGTCTGGGGTGGGCCTGAGTTCCTGCATTTCTAAAAGGTGTTGCCTATGCTGCTGGTCCCAGGACATGCTTGGAGCAGCAAAGTGCAAAGGACCTTAACCCATTTAATTCTTCAATCAATCCTTCAATAGGCAGGTACTATTTTACTCATTGCATTTTGCGATAAGAAAACCGAGGGTCCAAGCAGGCGAGTGAGGGTCATGCACTTATTAGCGGCATTGGCATTTGGACACAGTGCTGTCTAACTTCAAAGTGTGGAGTCTTTCCACAGTGCCACAGGCTCAGCTTGCACAGGGGCCTCTTACGGGAGCCATCTTTGCACTATCGGACCCTGGAAGGAAAAAGAAAAGGGAGAAAAAATTGTGTTTCTAAAAATAAACCTTGGGCTCTGGAGGAAGGCAAGGGACTGTGAGGGATTACTGTCCACTGGAGAAAGCACGAGCATCCTTTTCCGGAGTGTGCTCATAGGCTCCTCTCACAGCCCCAGGCCTGCCAGGAAAGGGCTCTCAGTTCCAGCTGGGGGAGGGCCAGGACCTATCCCAGTCTGCTCAGTGGGATAGCACCGGAATGGAAGCATTAGCTTTAATGGGAAAGGCCTGTTTGCAGGCGAAGTAAAGTCAGTAACTCACACTTCAAACACCTGCAGGTTCATTAGCATCCTGACAACCCTCAGGTGAGGAAGGAGCTGTTATCTCCATTTACAGACGGGAAAACTGAGGGTCAGGCTGGCTCTCAAGCCTGGGTCTTCTGATTCTTTCAAATCCTATGTGACACAACACTGAGCTCTTTGGGGTTCATAAAAGGAGGACCAGGAATGATGGAAAAGATCCAAACATCCGTCTTTGAAGGCGGGAAATCTGGGAGGAATGACCCTCGGTTCAAATCCTGCCACTTAGGAGCTATACAGCAGTGAGCAGGTCAGTGGGCCTCTCTGAGCCTCTGTGTCCTTCTCTGTAAAGTGAGTATAATGATTGTGTGTGTGTACATATCTACGGCTCATTATTCATAGATTTCCTATTTGCAAATTTACCTACTTACTAAAATTTATTTGTAACCCCCAAATAATGCTTGTGGTGTTTCTGCAGCCATCTGTGGACATGTACATTGTGGTGATAAATTTGAGTTACTTGATGCATGTTTCCATCTGAGGCTGAACAACGCAATTTCCTGCCGCTTCATGATCTGTTTAGTGCTATGTTGTTTGCATTTTTGTGCTTTTTTCTTGGCCATGTTGCTGTTTATGATGGCCTCAAGAGTAATACTAAAGTACTGTCTAGTGTTTCTAACAGCAAGAAGTCTATAATATGCCTTCTGGACAGAATGTGTGTTACATAAGCTTTGTTTGTGTATAAGCTGCAGTGCTATTGGATGTGAGTTCAATGTTAAATACATCAACAGTATTTGTTTAATAAGGTGTGTTTAAACAGAAATACATAAAACAAAGTTATGTATTGATTAGTTGATGACAATGCAACAACCGGAGGTTGCAGGAACCTAACTCTGTACTTCCCCTAGGAAAGATGGTTCAGCATTCACAAATTCTGTGTTCACAGTAACTTTACAGAAGATAACTACTGCAAATAACAAACACGAGTTGACTGTATATATTTCAGGAACACATTGAATGTCAGTTCCTTTCTTCTGCAGTTTTACTCATTGATCTTCCTTGGAAGGGCCATGCTGGTGAGCCCTAGAGACTGTAGCCATGGTCAGAGGCAGTGTGGCAGGGTAGGTAGGATAGTTGAGTGCATGAGTGTGAACTCTTCTTATAAGACCTTAAGCAATCTACGTCACCTCTCTCTTTCCCATGTCTGCAAAAGAGTGTCTTTGTTGTCCATGTCTGTAGAAGGTGATGATATGGTATCTGCTTTATGGTTTGTTATGAGGATTAAGTAAGCTAAGATGTATAAAGTGTTTAGAACAGAGCTTGGAAAGCAGGGCTGGGACTAGGGTAAGCTGCCTAGGGTGCAAAAATCTATGGAGACACTCACCCTGTGCTTGCTTGCCTCCTTAAATTTTGTGCTCTGGGCTGGGCGCAGTAGTTCACGCCTGTAATCCCAGCACTTTGGGAGGCTGAGGTGGGGGGATCACCTGAGGTCAGGAGTTCAAGTCTGGCCAACATGGTGAAACCCCGTCTTTACTAAAAATACAAAATTAGCTGGGTGTGGTGGTGCACACCTGTACCCCCAGCTACCTGGGAGGCTGAGGCAGGAGAATCGATTGAACCCAGGAGATGGAGGTTGCAAGGAGCCAAGATCACATCACTGCACTCCCTCCAGCCTGGGCAACAAGAGAGAAACTCCGTCTAAAAAAAAAAAACCAAAAACCAAAACCCAAAAACCAAAAAACTTTTGTGTTCTGGGTGTCTTTCTCATTTTGCCCTTGTCCTGGCCCTGCTGGCAAATGAGTATTAGCTACTGCTATTATTAACAGGAAGTCCCCCCTGCCCTTCTGGAAAGGGTCCTGGGGCCACTGTCAGCTGGCCTGGTTTTCTTTGAGGCCCGACCATCACTACGGGTGCAGCATGCTGTCTCTTTGGGCCTCTGTTTCTTCATCTGTCAAATGGATCATCTGTCAAATGGAGATGACCTCATTCTTGATGTCCTTGACCACATTGCCCACCTCTGAGGGTGGCTGTGAGGATCAGATGAGATAATGGGTGGGCAAGCTTTTGTAAACTGTAAAATGCAGGACAAACAGGAGGTGTTATTACTCATCTGTAATAGCCCCTTCTAGCTCGGTCATCCATCAAACAATCTCAGCTTGAGTTGAACCTGCTCATGGCTTCAGCCCGCACCGCCTCTCAGGGAAATGAGTTCCATATGGCTAACCTCCGTGGTAGGAAGGAGAACATTATTTTTTATTTATACTAAAAACTACATTTGAAAAAGCTTCACGCCTGGCCTTTTCCAAATCTGATATCCTGGGCTTCGGCTTTTACCTCGTAGGCTTGCTTTGGTCTTTGAAGGTACTGCCATAATTTTACAAGAAGACAGAGATGAGACATTTGTTGAGGACCTACTATGGGCTAGGCAATATGTTAAGTGCTTTAGGTGAACCCTCGGTAGTCCTTACAATAACTCTGCCAAACAGGTCCTTTTATTCTCATTTCACAAGTGTGGAAATGGAGGCTAACGAGATTGAGTAGCTTACCTGGAGTCACAGTCAGTCAATGGTGGGGCCAGGATTTGAATTTGGTTCTGTCTGAGTTTAGAAGTGAGGATAGGGAGGTGCTGGAGGCTGGTGTTTCTAACACCGGCAGGCTTGGGGGGTCACACAGATTGTATATAACCTTCCTTACCTGCTGGGTGACCTTGGGCAAGTTACTTTAAACTCTCTTAACCCTCAGTTTTGTTTTTCACCTGTAAAAACAGTGATTATAATAATGTTTACCTTGTAAGGTTGTTAGGAAATTTAAATGAGTTAAAATATGTCTAGCATTTATCACAGTCCCTGGCTCAGAATAAGTACTCATCAATGCTAGTTACTGTTTTAGGATGAGGAAACTGGCTAAATAAGTGGCCCCTTGGTATGGAAGGATAGCTATGTTTTGCGGTGGGGTGCAGAAATGATGCACTTACAAATGCTCCCAGCCCCCTTCCTGTGCCTGAGGGGGTGAGTGCCATTTTTCAGGCTCAGCTTCTTCTCCACCCACTCCTTCTCCTTTGGAGCCTCTTGTAGTCAGCCCTGCTCAAGTCCAAGAGCTCACAGCCATTCGCACTTCCTCCATCACCTGAGAGCATTATTCGGTACTTAGAAAACATCATTTGTTGTCTTCATGATTTTGTCTGTAGCTCACTTTGGCCTTTGCAATGAGAAGGAGAGGCTTTGAAGGCTGGTTGGGTGTGTGGGAGAGCAGAGACAGGGGCTTTGGGCAGCCAGGTCCTGAGCGGAGCACCTTTTTACCCCGGGGAGATGCCAGGAGAGAAGCTAGGGTCAAAGCCCGAGTTCAGTGCCTCTTCCCTGTGAAGAAAGGAGTGATCCCTCTGTGTGTGTGTGTGTGTGTGTGTGTGTGTGTGTGTGTGTGAGAGAGAGAGAGAGTGAGAAGGAATGTGAGCAGGAGGATTGGGAGGGCTTGTGTAAGAGTTTGTACGTGTTAGAAATGTGTAGAGCGATGATAAACTCAGAGCGTTTCTAAGACAGGAAGCGATTGGAAGTGCTGGGTAGCGAGTGTGAGGATGTGTGTTAGGGAGTCCGTGTGTTTTCCCCATGTGAGAGTGAACAGTGGAGGTGCAGCAGATGTGTGGCCGTCAGTGTGTGTTGGGGTCTGCGAAGGATTTATTTAGTCTCCCCTTCTGTGGATCTGAGTGGGAAGGTCACTGTACCAGTGGCTGGGATGTGGAACAGAGCGGGCTGGGGAGTGGGAAGGTCTCCTTATTCCTGCACAGGAAGTCCCTTCACAAAGAGATTGGGTAGCAACGGATGCCAGGAGATGGCTGCGGCCTGGCCTAGTGGCCCCTTCCAGAGAACAAGGAAGGGAAAACAGATAGTGTTTGCACAAGAGATACTGAGAACCAAGTGCTTACGGGATTATGGGATCAAATTCTTATGAGATTACCAGATTGGGCAGGCTCTGAGGGATGATCTGGAGAGGACCTACTTCCTCAATGTAAGGTGGGATCCTGAGGTCCAAAGACAAAAGTCATTAGCCTCTGGTCGCAGACTTGACCTTGAACTTCACAGGGGCTTCAGGGGCTTGGCCCAGTGAAAAGGAGGAAGCCTTGGCTGGGACGATGGAGTGGCAGTGTGGGTGGACAGGATGGAGGTCTCCAGGGGCAGTGGTTCAGTGCATAGATGTGATGCCATCCAGAGTCGTCTGGTGGGATGGCGGTGGGTGATAATCAGCTGGAAGGGGCACAGCTGCAATTATGTGACTGGTGGCAGGGTTGTGGGGGTCAATGTCCAGCCCTCTGCAGTATCTGGGAGGAGTCAGAGAGAAACTCGTGGCAAGGAACAAAGGGAAGACAGGAAATGGGGGTGGTGAACGGGGCAAACAAGGCAGAGCAAGGCCCATCTCAGGCTTTGCTGGAGGAACCCAGGGCAGCTGCATGCCCTCCCAGGCTGTTTGAGTAGGGTGGCCAAGGCCTGGGTGGGCACAGTGATGGCTTATCCCTTCCATCTGCCCTTGGAGGCAGGCTAGCCTCATCCCGAGACACTCAGCTGACCCACAGCAGTCCTAGCTGCACCCGAGGTAATCTTTTGGGAACCCATTCTCTCCTGTTTGATCCCAGTGTGCTCATTCTGAATCCTTTCCTCTGGGTCTGAGCTCCCTAGTTCCTGCTCCAGTTGTGACACATCTCTGCCTCTCCTGGATTTGGTGCATAAGACATGCGGGTGTCTCCCACTCTGGTCATTGTCATTGTTTTGGGCGGGCATTTCTGTGAAGGTCCCTCAGATAGGGCCTCAATGGGGCCACCCTGGCTTTCCTTAGGAGATGGAAGCTGATGGAAGCTGTGCCCACCAGAGACCCCACCACCAATGTGGAGGATGTATGGGTGGTGGAGGCTGCCCCTCAAGCAGGCCACTTGTGGGAGGAGCCCTAGGGCTGGGTCTGAGGAGGCACAGCCCAGCCTGATGCAGGAGTCGTGGGAGGAAGATGAGGTCAGTGCCAGGAAGTAGAGTTGTGTTGGAGGCTGGGAGGGAGGTAGCTGGAGGGTCAAATTTGTGGGGTGGAGTGGCCCAGAGTGGCAAGCAGGCCAACGTCAGCACGAAGGAGGTGCAGAGAGCTGAAGAGGTCTGAGAGAATAGAGCAAGGGATCTGGGGATCCAGTCTCCAGATGCTAGTCCTCCCAGTGGCTCCTGGGCAGGGAGAAATGAAGGACATGGGTCTCATTTGCTGATCATGTGTGAACTCATCTCCAGCAAAGAGGAAATGTTAGTTGAGGTTCTCTGAGAAGCACATGCCAAGAAAGGTTACTTGTTCGAGAGATGTATTCGGGGAATGCTTATGAAGGTTAAAGGAGAGACAGCAGGAGTTGGCAGGGTGAGCTGGCAGCCTTGATGCAGATCTGTTACCTGGGAAAGCAGATCTGTTACCTGGTAAGCAAGGAGGGTTGGGCAGGAAGGTCTCAGACTGCAGCACACCCCAGGGTAGTCTTGGCCAGGCTGCTGTCATAGTTCCCAAGCCAAGAAGCCCACGGCTGGAGGCCCACATCTGGTAGGAGTGGGTGGGCACCAGCACCCCACCGTGCCTGTCATTGGCTGGGTGCTTGTCCAGGGAAGCTGTGCCTCAGTGCACATGGGGTGGAGGGTGTAGAGGGGCAGCAGCCGTGGCGGTCACATCGGCATCCTTGGCTGGGCCTCGTGAAGGGCAGCTGGTGGTGTATTTCCATGGCCTTTAAATGGCCTAAAGAGGCTGGGGGAGGTGGCTCCAAACTACTTCTGGGGGCACATGACTCTTCATATTGCCTCTTCCAAACACTCACTGGCAGTTAGTTCCTTAATCCAATTCATCTGGCACTTACTGAGAGTCTACAAGGTGTACTTTCTGTACAAACTTTAAGACAAGCAGCCTCTGCCCTCGAGGGGCCTGCTCCCTAGTGACGGTGATCACATGTGCTAATGCCATCGGAGTCATCAGAGGTGCAAGGTGAGCCTTCCAAGGGGTTGGAGGAGAGGGAGAAATGTCCACTTAGAAAAGTAGGTTGAAAGAGAGTTCAGGAAAATGGTGTATATGAGTGGGTCCCCCTGAGTGATTGGAATTTGTCAGTGGAGGGAGGGAAAGGGAATTTGACTCCAGAGGAGGTTGGTATATAGCAGAGATGAAGAGTTGGAAAGAGCCATGTTTGAGCAATAATGGGGGCTCCTTTTGGCTTGAGGGGAAGCACAAGGGCAAGCAGTAATGGATAGATTTGGAAGAAGGGGTTGGAGCAGGCAAGGGATTTTATGCTATAACCTACAGGGAGTTTGAGTATGGATGGGCCATGATCTCTGTGGGGGCTTGAAACATGCTTATATGATAGACCTAAAACGTTTCATGAATCTCCCAACCCTAAGTTGTCCAAAACACTGCAGCTAGGTAGCCCCAGGTATCTTTCATTCTATAATGACAGAGTCATTCCTTTGGCTAAATAATACCCTCTTCAGCCATCCCCTGTTTAATGCAACTTCTCTTTGATGAGATGACCGAGCAAGCCTGCTCAGCAATCAGTCACACTTTAGTATAAATGGGTTTATCAGCCGTTTTCTGTTCAGGCTATTTGCTGTTAGAAGGGCCCTTAGGAATTACATAGTACCATCCCTCTCCTTGTTCACAGACGAGGCTACTAAGAGCCAGAGAGCAGAAGTGATTCTCCAAGATTATGCAGCCAGCTGGTGCAGAGCATACCCTCAAACCAAGATTCCATAATTGAGAACACAGAGTCTGTGAGCAGGAGGTGGGGAAAGTTTATAGCAGGCATCAGAGGCAGAAGAAGGGGCAGGAGGGAGGGTGGGGTGAAGCAGGAATCTGTGGGAAGAGGGTGGGGAGGTCAAGAACAGAAGAAAAGTCCTGTAGTTGATTTTTTTTTTTTTTTTTTTTGAGACAGAGTCTTGCTCTGTTGCCTGAGCTGGAGTGCAATGGCGCAATCTCAGCTCACTGCAACTTCTGCCTCCAGGGTTCAACCAATTCTTCTGCCTCAGCCTCCTGAGTAGCTGGGATTACAGGCGTGCGCCACCATGCCCGGCTAATTTGTGTATTTTTAGTAGAGATGGGGTTTCACCATGTTGGCCAGGCTGGTCTCAAAATCCTGACCTCAGGTGATCTGCCCACCTCGGCCTCCCAAAGTGCTGGGATTACAGGTGTGAGCCACCATGCCTGGCATGGCAGCAATTCTTGTTCTTGAGGTTTTCCATATTGTTCGATTTTATTCCGTGTTTGTCTCTGCAGCTGAGTCCTGTAGTTGAAAAAGCACTGGTGCCTGGGATTGAGACCTGGGTTCTCTGGTTCTGTCACTAATTCTCCTTGCAACTAGCAAGTCACCTCCCTTCTCTGGGCTTGTTTACACAGCTATAATTGGAGATAATAAAAATGTTCACCTAGACTCATGGTGAAGATAAAGGGAATTAAAGATGTGAAAGTTTGCTTTAACCAAAAAAAAAACTCTATAGATATATGGTGTTATGTGCATATTATTAATAGGGGTAGGCTAGGGTTATGATGATGAATAAATAAGTCACTCCATGTGACATGCTTAGCAAGGGATAAAGTGCTCAAAAATTAGTTATTATTTTTCTTTTTTATAATTTGACCAAGAGCCAATTTATCCAGAGACACTTTTGGAATGGGTTTAGGTGTAAATCATTTTCCTTAAGAAATCTGAACCCGAGCTGCTGTCCAGAGGCCAGAGTGCCGGGGCTGAGCTCTCACTCCTGCCCTAGCCCCTGCTCAGTTCAGGGGTCTCGTGGAGGGCGGCTGCAGCTTAATGTTTCATACTGTCTCTGCTACTCCACCTCTGTGAGATAGCCACTCTTACTATTTCTGTTCTACAAAACATCTCAGAGAGGGGACACACCTTGTCCAAGGTCACAGAGCCGGCCTTAGTTGTGGCCCAGAGCAACCTGGAGTGGAAGCTGCCAGATTTAATACCACCTCTGTGGAGTGTGAGCAATGGCCCGAGGTCATTGTGTGTAGGGGCCTAGCACTATGGTGGCAGAGGCAGGGGTGTGGCAAGCAGTCCTCTACTCTTGCTACCTTCAAAGGACTCATGTTTTTAAGGAGATGGATGTGTTAACATTTAACTGTGGCAATAAAGTCATCTTTAGAGTCATTTAAATTCCAATTCAATCCCATCTCCAAAATTTACTAGTTGTGTGACTTGAATAATTTAATAACAATAATAATCATAAAAAGCTTCCACTGTTTCATACTTGTCACTAACACCATTCTAAGTGCTATATATTACAGCAGCTCTAATTTTTTTCTGGTAATTTGGCAAGAGAGGTATTATTATTTTCATCTTGCAGAAGGAGCTGAAGCTTAGAGAGCTTACAGTGAATTTCTCTAAGCGTATCAGTCAGGGTCCAGTCAGAAGATAGAAAATGCACACTCATTTGAGTAGGGAAAGTTTAATATAAAGAGCTGCTAACTAGCAACAAGGAAGATTAACTACTGAGGGGTAAGGGTTACTTGAAATAATGCAGGAATAGAGGATTTAGGGAGCAGTACTACCTCTAGGGCTAAGGCAGGGTACCCAAGGAAGGAACACATCTGGAAGATAACACCCTCTCCTCAAGGCTGGGATTCAGACCTCATTGGATGGGTGTGGCTATAGCCCACTGGAGGATGGAGAGGTTTGCTGAAGTGCCACAGTGGGAAACCAGCCTCTGGGGTGCTGACAAAACTCTCCAGGGATTTGTCTTCTGGGAGTGTGACAAGACTTCCTGGGGAGCCACTCATGGAAGTGCTGCTGAAATTTGCTGGGAAGCTACCCTCTGGGATGCCGGTGAAACGTGCTAAGCTATGAGCATAACTGGATGTCCTTTACAAGCTGGTTGCTATTGACAAGGAGCAAGAAGGCAAGCGTGTGGAACCAGGAAGAAAAGTCCCCTTGTAGTTTGCCTGTAGTGCCCTCTACTGACAAAGCTTAATATAATACCAGCCGGTGAAGGAGAAATGTTCATAGGGTCCAGCTCCAGCCTCACAAAACTGGGCAATGAAGAATGAATGTGGCACTGAGAGGCGATACACTGATAACTGGCACAGTAAATATTAGAACCTATGAAAACCCAGGCTTATCTGACACAAAAGCCCAAATTCTTTCTACTATAACACTGCCTGATATGGTTTGGCTGTGACCTCACCCAAATCTCATCTTGAATCTCAATCTCCATAATCCCCACGTGTCAAGGGCGGGACCAGATGGAGGTAATTGGATCATGGGGTGGTTCCCCCATGCTGCTCTTGTGATGGTGAATGAGTCTCATGAGATCTAATGGTTTTATAAGCATCTGGCATTTCCCCTGCCACCCTGTGAAGATGGTGTTGCTTCTTATTTGCCTTCTACCATGATTGTGAGTTTCCTGAGGTCTCCCCAGCAATGTGGAACCGTGAGTCAATTAAACCTCTTTCCTTTATAAATTACTCAGTCTTGGGTATTTCTTCACAACAGTGTGAGAACAGACTAGCACACTGCCTTTTTTTTTTCAGTGTCTATGATTTTATTGGAACATGGCCATGTTTGTTTACATATAGTCCTTGTCTGCTTTCACACTTCTACTGAAGAGATGTGTACTTGTGCCTGAGACCTTATGTCAGAGTGCTTACATTCTGCTCAGCACCCTACAAATCTCAGTGATGGAGTTATAATGCCACAATGTTTTGAGGGCTGTGTGTATCTCTTTACTTCAACATTTTATTTAGTTTAACTGCCAGTTCATATCCAGAACACTGACTTTTTTGACCTTTAGTCTTCCCATCTCTAAACTGGCAACAATAATACTTAACTCATAGGAGGCTGTATGCATCAAATGAGATGACATAAGTGTAGGTTTGGGATATGAGAGAAGTTCATTGAGAGTGGCTTACTGGCCTGCCTTTTTAATAGAACTCTGTAAGAGATTTGAGGCATAATCAAGCCCATTTTTCTAATTTCATAGGAGACAAAACTGAGGTACAGATAGACATGATTTAGCTCAGGTCTCAACACCTACCAATGGTTTTGAGGACAATAATTAGAATCTGGGCCACCTGACATTTATTTCATTTCTTTTCTTAGTCAAACTCTGCAGCTTCAAATTTGAAATCTTAGTTAGCATTGAAGTAGGGAGAGGGTATAGCTCCATGTGAAATTATTTAACAGTGGCTGGCCTTACACTGAGGCCAATACCAAGACTTAAAAAAAATTTACAAGGAGAAAAGGCTATTTTGGCCAGTCCGAAATTTTTTCTTAAAGATCAAGTTAGAGTTTTTATTTTATTACCAAATTCACAACATGTGACAAGTCAAGTTCATTAACAATAATAACATTTTGACATAGAGAGGAATATAAATAAATATTCCATTACCATAAGAGCGTCCTCTTGGACTTCTCATTTCCATCCCCAATTTCCTCCTGTAATTGCGTGGAGACCTGGTAACAATATTCCAGCCTGAGTCATCTGGGAAGGCTACAGTCTCTTTCTCAATTTTTCAAGAGTTTCCACTTGTGGGTTTCTCTTCCAATCTACATATTCTCTTTGGGGGATTGCAAACGTAAGTCTGGTTTTAGCTGTGTCCTCCAAATAATAATTGCCAAACCACTGTCTTTGGGTCAGACCTCTCTGACCACCTTCAGACTTCCCTTTCTAATGCCATCCGGGCATGTCCACATACATTTCTCCAGGCACCTTAACCTAGTAGTCCCTCCCATAATGAGCTCAGCATTTGCTTCCAGATCTGCTGCTCCTGCCTTTTGTCACTTCTTCCTGCACTTTGAGTTTTGATTCTAGATTCTTATCATGGACCACAGGCCCTGCCTAAGTTGGTCTCTGCTACTCTCTCTCATTCATATTGTGCCACTCTTCCTTTTATTCATTTTCTTACTTTTTCATTTACATCTTCAAAAGCCTTTCCTGCCCCAAGGTCTTCAAACAAGATGATTTTTTATTTGTTTGTTTTTGTCTGATATACTTGTCCTCTGACTTTTTGTCTGGTAAATTTCTTCTCATTCATTAGGCCTTCGTTTAAATTTAATGTCTTCAGAGAGACTTTCTCTAACTGCTCCTGCCCGGTTGTAAATTAGAACTTTCTTATTATTCTCCTTCATGCCACTTGTCCTAATTTGTAAGTGTGTGTTTATCTAAGTGTCTATTTGATCAATGATCTTCACCACCACACTTCAGAAGACAGGGTTCCTGGCCAGTTTTGCTCACCAATAAATCCCTAATACCTGCGCAGTATGCTTGACATATAGAGGACCCTCAGTAAATATTCATTAAATAAATGAAGAAGTAATTTGTTGTCATATGCGACTCTGCTTTTCTCTTCATTTTTCAAATAAAAATGACTGGCAACTTCTTTTAACATTACCTCCTAAATATTTCTCAAGCTACTCCTTTTCTCTCCATCTTCATTGCCAATTCTAGGGTTTAGGCCTCCTTATTTTCTCACTGGTGCTATCAGAGCACATTTCTAATTGGTCAGTGCATTGCAATTCTTGCTCCTCTCCACAGCTACCAAAATATCTTTTTAGAATAAAAATCTACTTATATCACTTTGCTGTTTAAAAAACTCTCAGTTGCTACTCATTACCTCTTGAAATGTGGCCAAGATCTTCTGTAAGGCCTTTCTGGCCTTCAAAAATTGGTCTTGCTTTACCTTTCTCCACCTTCATTTCCCTTTACTCTTTGCTAGAATGTAAGCTCCACGAGTACAAGAGTATTGTCTGTTTTCTTCACTGCTGTATCCACATTGCTTATGTGTCAGTGAGCTATTGCTGTATCACAAACTATCCCCAAATACTTAGTGGCTTAAAACAACAATCATTGATGATTTCTGATGAACCTCTAAATAAGCATGATCTGTTAATCTGGGCCAGACTCGACTGAGTTTGGCTGGGCTAGCTCATGTCTCTACCATGTATCACATCAGTTGGAAGGTTGGCTAGGTGCTGGCTGGCTTAGGATAACTGTGATGGGAAGACTCAACTTGCTGCATGTGGCTTCTCATCCCCCAATAAGTTATCCCAGACTGCCTGGTGTGTGTATGTGAGGGTCAGGAGGGTAGCAAGGTGTCCAAGAGAGGAAGTGGAAATGTGTACGTGTTTTCTCAAGCTTCTACTTGTGTCAAGTTTGCTACTGTCTCACTGGACAGGGTAAGTGACATGGCCAAGCCCAGAGCCAGAATGGAAGAGACTGCAAAGTTACCAAGCCATGGGTAGATATAGGAAATCTATTCTTTGGGGCCACTAATGCAATCAGTCAGCTACAGCCTAGAACAATGCCTGGCACAGCGTGGTGTGAAATACATACTTTTTGAATGAATATGTGATACTTTCTGTACATCTTGAATGAGCACAGTCTTTTCCATAGTCAAACCAGAATACAGGCTGACTCCTAACCTGTGGTTCTCAATCTGAAGGTCATGATTAGACCTTGGATGTTCATGAACACCCTGAAGCTGTAGGTAAAATTTTGTGTGCTTGCACCTATATGTGTTTCTTTGGAAGATAGTATTTATATCTCTCACCAGATTCTCAAAGAGCCTCTGCCTACCCCAAGAGTTAACAATCACTTTTAAAACCAAATAAACTTTTATAAATTTCTGCTTTTGTATATGGTGTTTCCTTTGTTGATAGGTCCTTTCCTTTTCCAAAAGTGACATGCTCCTTTTCATCCATCAATGATGAATGAAGTTGGTTATTTTTTTGTCTGACCATATAAAACAGGAAAAGACGTCCTCATGCCCAAAACGTGTTACTGAAGATGAATAAACTTAAAATGAGGACAATGGTTTCATAGAGAATCATAAAAAGGCCAAGATTTGGTGGGAAATTATTTAGAAAATGGAACAAAAAATTGTCATGTTTATTTAATACAATTGAGTTGCGTTGCAATTATATGTGAATGCTTATGATGAACCAAGAATGAATCAATTGTTTGTTTCTTCAGTGTAGTTATCCTGATAACATTGTATGCTAGCAAAAATGCATTCTTTACCTTTGACCTTTGCAGCGTGGTCAACAACAGAGTAATTTTGTAAATATAATAAAAGTCTTATTAATTTTTCCTTTAGCTTTGTTTATATCAGAAATATTTTCCTCTGAAGCACCTATCATGCCATTATCCTTTTTGATTTTCTTCAATGGCTAATGTGTCTAATTCTGCCATCTGTGATCTGCCAAATGTGTCTAACTCTGCCAGATTATCACTTATTGGTGATTTTGCTTGTGATTTATGCAGTTCTTCCCTGTTACTTTCCTTGACTTCATGACATCCTGCATCTTTGGTAAATTGCAGTATTATTTTGTGGACCATTTGCATTTTATATTCCTTATATTATAGAAGTGGTACATTTGGCTATGAAGGAGACTTCCACCATCCCAGACACTTCTTTGTGGGTCATAATCATCAGTGTCAAACAGCGTGTGTTTATGTGTGTGTGTGTGTGTGTGTGTGTTGTTGGCGGGGGGGGGGGTGGGTAGTACTCTTTGAATGGGGATTAATTTTTATAAATGGTAGGTGATATGGTTTGGCTCTGTGTCTCCACCCAAATCTCAACTTGAATTGGACTCCTATAATTCCCACATGTTGTGAGAGGGACCCAGAGGGAGATAATTTGAATCATGGGGGTGGTTTCCCCCATACTGTTCTCATGGTAGTGAGTAAGTTTCATGAGATCTGATGGTTTTATCAGGGGTTTCAACTTTTGCGTCTTCCTCATTTTCTCTTGCTGCCACCATGTAAGAAGTGCCTTTTGCCTCCCACTGTGATTCTGGGGCCTCCCCAGCCATGTGGAACTGTAAGTCCAATTAAACCTCTTTTTCTTCCCAGTCTCAGGTATGTCTTTATCAGCAGCATGAAAATGGACTAATACAGTAAATTGGTACCAGTAGAGTGGGGCGTTGCTGAAAAGATACCTGAAAATGTGGAATCAACTTTGGAACTGGGTAACAGGCAGAGATTGGGATAGTTTGAAGGGCTCAGAAGAAGACAGGAAAATGTGGGAAAGTTTGGAACTTCCTAGAGACTTGTTGAATGGCTTTGCCCAAAATGCTGATAGCAATATGGACAATAAAATCCAGGCTGAGGTGGTCTCAGATGGAGATGAGGAACTTGTTGGGAACTGGAGCAAAGGTGACTATTGTTATGTTTTAGCAAAGAGATTGGTGGCATTTTGCCCCTGCCCTAGAGATTTGTGGAAACTTGAACTTGAGAGAGATGATTTAAGGTATCTGGAAGAAGGATTTCCTAAGCAGCAAAGCATTTGAGATGTGACTTTGGTGCTGTTAAAGGCATTCAGTTTTATAAGGGAAGCAGAGCATAAAAATTTGGAAAATTTGCAGCCTGACTATGCAATAGAAAAGAAAAACCCATTTTCTGGGGAGAAACTCAAGCCTATTGCAGAAATTTGCCTAAGTAGCAAGGAGCCTAATGTTAATCCCCAAGACCATCGGGGAAATGTCTACAGGCCATGTCAGGGAACTTCATGGCTGCCCCTCCCATCACAAGCCTGCAGGCCCAGGAGTAAAAAGTGGTTTCATGGGCCAGGCCCAGGGTTCCTGTGCCGTGTGCAGCACAGGGACTTGGTGCCCTGTGTCCCAGCTGCTCCAGCTATGGCTGAAAGGGGCCAAGGTAGAGGTTGGGCTGTGGCTTCAGAGGGTGCAAGACCCAAGCCTTGGCAGCTTCCACGTGATGTTGAGCCTGTGGGTGCACAGAAGTCAAGAACTGAGGTTTGGGAACCTCTGCCTAGATTTCAGAAGATGTATGGAAACGCCTGGATGCCCAGGCAAAAGTTTGCTGCAGGTGTGGGACCCTCATGGAGAACCTCTGCTAGGGCAGTGCAGAAGGAAAATGTGGGGTCAGAGCCCCACCACAGAGTCCCTACTGGGGCACCACCTAGTGGAGCTGTGAGAAGGGGGCCACTGTCCTCCAGACCCCAGAATGATAGATCCACTGACAGCTTGCACCATTCACCTGGAAAAGCCACAGACACTCAACGCCAGCCCATGAAAGCAGCCAGGAGGGAGGCTGTACCCTGCAAAGCCACAGGGGTGGAACTGCCCAAGACTATGGGAACCTACCTCTTGCATCAGCATGACCTGGATGTGAGACCTGGTGTCAAAGGAGATCATTTTGAAGCTTTAAAATTTGACTGCCTCACTGGATTTCAGACTTGCATGGGCCCTGTACCACTTTGTTTTGGCCAATTTCTCCCATTTGGGAGGGCTATATTTACCCAATACTTGTACCCCCATTGTATCTAGGAAGTAACTAGCTTGCTTTTGATTTTACAGGCTCACAGGTGGAAGGGACTTGCCTTGTCTCAGATGAGACTTTGCACTGTGGACTTTTGTTTTGTTTGTTTTTTGAGATGGAATCTTGCTCTGTCACCCAGGCAGAAGTGCAGTGATGTGATCTTGGCTCACTGCAACCTCCGTCTCTCAGGTTCATCTGATTATCCTGCCTCAGCCTCCCGAGTAGCTGGAA
Organism: Homo sapiens; assembly: GCF_000001405.40. Classification (NCBI taxonomy): domain Eukaryota; kingdom Metazoa; phylum Chordata; class Mammalia; order Primates; family Hominidae; genus Homo; species Homo sapiens. Next base: position 55,344,857 of record NC_000001.11, read on the forward strand.
CTACAGGCACATATCACCATACCTGACTAATTTTTGTATTTTTAGTAGAGACGGGGTTTCACCATGTTGGCCAGGCTGGTCTTGAACTCCTGACCACAAGTGATCTGCCCACCTGGGCCTCCCAAAGTGCTAGGATTACAGGCATGAGCCACCATGACTGACTGGACTGTGGACTTTTGGGTTAGTGCTAAAATGAGTTAAGACTCTGAGGGACTGTTGGGAAGGCATGACTGGTTTTGAAATGTGAGGACATGAGATTTGGAGGAGCCAGGGGTGGGATGATATGGTTTGGCTGTGTCCCCACCCAAATCTCATCTTGAATTGTACTCCCATAATTCCCATGGGTTGTGGGAGGGACCTGGTGGGAGATAATTTGAATCATAGAGGTGGTTTCCCCCATACTGTTCTCATGGTAGTGAATAAGTCTCACGAGACTGGATGGTTTTATCAGGGGTTTCCGCTTTTGCATCTTCCTCATTTTCTCTTGCTGCCACCAGGTTAGAAGTGCTTTTCACCTCCTGCCATAATTCTGAGGCCTCCCCAGCCATGTGGAACTGTAAGTCCAATTAAACCTCTTTTTCTTCCCAGTCTCGGGTATGTCTTTATCAGCAGCATGAAAACAGACTAATACAGTAGGTACATTAGTGAATGTTTTCATGACTTTGCTTCCTACCTGACCTCCTAACGGTGGAAACTCTGATGATAAACACTCAGGCACTGAAGATGTCCTGTAGAAGTCTGCTTCTCAGAGCTTGCCCCTCCCCATATTTATTCCCCAACATTCCTTACACTGGAATCCTTATGAACTGTCTTTGTTTTCTGAATCTAATAAATGTCCCCCATGCTAAAGGTTGCCCAGGAATGCTGGCCTTCCAGTGGGGCCCAAGCCATCCTTTCTGGGCATGGTCTTGTGAGACAAAGAACACGTTTTCTCTTTTGGTACCTTGCATTTTCCAGGTCATGCCTTACACAGACCTGTAGAATATTGGAAACAGGATGGACAACATTTATTAAGGGTCTATTCTGTGCCAGGAATTTTTTCATATGTCCTGACATTTGACCTTCAGAGTTTTCCAATGAGGTCACTGTTTTTTTCATCCCCATTTTAGACATGGGTGTATTAGTCCATTATCACGCTACTATAAAAACTGCCCAAGACTGGGTAATTTATAAGGGAAAGAGGTTTAATTGAATCACAGTTCTGCAGGGCTGCAGAGGCCTCAGGAAACTTACAGTCATGGCAGAAGGGGAAGCAAACACATCCATCTTCACATGATGACAGGAAGGAGAAGTGCTGAGAAAAAAGGTGGGAAAAGCCCCATTATAAAACCATCAGATCTCATGAGAACTCACTATCACGAGAACAGCTTGGAGGTAACTGCCCCATGATTCAATTACCACCCACTGGGTCCCTCCCATGACACGTGGGGATTATAAGAACTATAATTCAAGGTGAGATTTGGGTGGGGACACAGCCAAACCATATCAATGGAGCTCAGAGAAAGTAAGTGACCTTTATCAGGTCACACACCAAGGAGTGGAGCTGGGGTAAAGACTGTTGTCCTTTCCTAACTCCAGGCTCTTTCCCTCAATTCACAAATGAGAAGACTTGGGCTTAGGAAAGGACTTGCCTGAGGCATATCACTAGGTTAGTGGAGGGACTAAAACTAGACCACATGCTCTCTAGCTCCCTGTTTATCTTATTCCACTCTGCTTTTCTTCTTAGACTTATTATTGTATAGCTATTGTTTCAGAAGAAGAAAACTAATTTCACATGAAATTATTTAAAAACATCCACATGCTTACATAGTTGCATAACCAAAATGTTCCATTTTATTTACAAGTTTTTTTAAGCTTTTAAAGACTTCCAATGATACATTTATTTCATTACTGAATTGGCAACATACGATAACTCAAAATTCATCTGATTCATCAAACTTTCAACACTCTTTGACACAGGGAATATATTGTACTGGGATTTCATTGTCCTAAAACAGCCACAAAAATTGATATGTGATCAAAGAGAAGTAACTGTCTAGAAGCCAGGTTTTCTGATTCCAAGTCTAGTGCCCTGCCCAAACTCATATTATTTATTAAAGAATGTTATTTTTTTTACTGATTAATATGAGAGCTATAATTAGATAGTACTTGCTATGTGCCTGGCACTTTTAACTTTACTTTGCATGTATTAAATCATCTAATCCTTAGAATACCTACCATACAGTAGATATTACCATTTCTGTTTTATAAACAGAGGCATTCACAAGGGAATATTTTGATAATATTAAACATTCACATGTATTTTCCAGTTTTTGTAAAGGTTTATTTTCTACTTTTAACCCTGGAATTACTACTCCCTCTGCATTCCCTTCATGTTCCAAGATGTTGTTATGCTAGGGTTTGATAATGTGTGAGGCATCAGCTAAGATGCTTTTGACCGTAAGGAATAGGACACCTGCCTAACAGTGGCTTTAAGAAGTAGGCGGTTCTAAGCTGGTTCAGTGGCTCAACAGGCAAAAAATACCCATCCTCTTTCCATCCTTCTGTTCCTCTTTCCTAGAGCACTGGCTTTTGTCTTCAGGCTTGTTGCCTTGGGATTTAAATAGTCCTACCTTAGTTTTAGTCCTAAAATGTCTAATTTTTAGAGACAGAGTCTTGCTTTGTCAACCAGGCTGAAGTACGGTGGTATGACCATAGCTCACTGCAGCCTCGAATTTCTGTTCTCAAGGAATCTTCCTGCTTTAGCCTCCCTAGTAGCTGTGACTATAGGCACACACCACTACACTTGGCTAATTGAAAAAATAATTGTAGAGATGAGGTCTTGCTTTGTTGCCCTTGCTGGTCTTGAACTCCAGCCTCAAGTGATCCTCCTGCCTCAGCCTCCCAAAGTGCTGGGATTATAGTTGTGAGCCATCACACCCAGCCTCGAATGGCAGTTTTCAAAGGCAGGAAGCCAAGAGATGGCCAGAGATGCCAGAGTATCATCTCTCTCTTTATCTCTTTTTATCAGGGAAGAACATTTTTCCCACAAGCCTTCCTGTATTTTTTTTTCTTAAATATCATTGAGATGAACAAAGTCACACGGCCACTCCTACTTGTAAGGAAGGCTGGGAAAACATGAAACTTGTATTTTTAGCTGTGGTGTGTGCATGTGCGTGTGTGTGTGTGTATGTATAGCTGTCACCATGAGAAAAGTGGGAAGGAAATGGCTATTGGGCAGTCAACCAACAGTTTCTATGATACACAGTAAATTGTTAGTGGATAATTATCTTTCAGTGTGGTCTCCAATGGGTAATCTTGGGAGGTTGTCAAGTTAAATAGTAGAAGTTCACAGTTCCTTTGAACATTTAGATGTCATAATTCTATGATTTGAAAATGCTCAGTGGATCAGGAATCTTTTCTCTCTCTCTGGCAACCATCCTTCCTGTGAGGTTTTTGTATGAGAATATGAGTACGACTTCTTGCCTTTTCCCTTGTCCACAGTTTATTTTAGCTGAAGAGTGTAGGTAGAATAAAGGGACCACTGTGAGGCAACCTCAGAACCCTGGGGCTGAAACAAATAAAACAATACTCATTTCATAAAATGAGATCAGTGATGAGATGAGCCCCCTCAGAGATGGATTTGTCCCAGACCCAGAAAAGGAAGAGCAGGTGTGTAAAGATGGCCTCAGCATCATCCTGAGGGAGGCATGGCTGGGGACATCTCTGGGAACTCGGCCCTTCCTTCATGGGAACAAGCCCCAGGTGTTGTTGGCTTCTCCTGGGAACCCTTACAGGGGGAGAGCTCTCTCTGTGGGCCCATCCTCAGAAATTGCAAAGCAGATGTTTGCTTTGGGGAGGTAAATGTTTTCCCTTCTGTCTTATTTTCAAAGATCAGCAGAGAGGGCTGTAAGATCAACTGCCTAGCCTGCCTGGTTTGGAGGTCAGTTTGCTGGTAGGCCCAGGGCTAGCATGCCCATTGCTACCCTCTGTCTGCTTCTCTGATGGGCAAAAATGTTTCTTTTGGAGTGATCTGGTGGAGGTTGGCGGGTTAGAGGGGAAGGGTCTCTTCTGTCCCTCTAGAGTCTGGTCCTCACTCTATATGGTGGAGGCAGCAAAATGCAGTACATTCTCCAGAGAACAGCCACCTTCTCACTCCTGGAGTTGGACCCAAGAGAGGAAGAGAGAGCACAGCCAGCACCTTGCCTGGAGCCAGGGCTCTGGCATTCACCTGTCTGGCAGGTGTGCAGGGAGCTCCTGCTGTATGCCAGGTGCCTGGTGAGTGGTCAGCCCAACAGAAGAGTCAGGCCCCACACCTCTAAGTCTGGTACCCTTTGCTCTATTCATGTGAAAAGAAGAAAGAGACTTAACACTGAGCACATTCTATATACATGGCATTATACTGTTCCTATTTTATTGGTAAAGAAATGGAAGATCAGACATGGGGGGTACATGATCATAGCTACACAGGAGGTGGTGAAATCAATGCTCAAACGCAGATTAGTCTCCTCTAAAATTCACCATCTTCCCACTTCACTCAATAAGCTCAACTCAGAAGACAGAGCCTCACTTGTCCAATCCTTTGGGTGAGAACCTGCTGTATTTTAATTTTCCCAGGATGGTGAGGAGAGAGGAAATGTTTGCTGTTCTTTCCACCATCACCTCCTGATGTAAATGTGGAGCATAGGAGGAGAGAAGAACTTCTCATCCATTTAGTTCAGCTCAATTCAATTCAACCTTTTCTCAGCACCCGCTGCCACCAGGCACAGTGTTGTGCAGTAGAACCCAGAGATGAGCATGGCATGGCCTTTGCTCTTACAGAGGACACTGTGATGTTCCAGCATCACACACAGGACTTCCCAAAGTGGGTCTCGCAAAGTTCAAGGTATTTGGGAAGGTGATCTGTCCCAGAACCCCTTGAGGAGACTGTAAAAGTCTAGCTAATCCAAGGTCTATTGTAGATTTAAAGAATCTTGGCCTTCAGGAGCAGAGCTGTGAATCTGCATGCTCACAAGCCCCTGGTGATTCCAATGCTTGCCAACGTTGTGAACCTTCCTGTTGCATGGACATAGTGGGGAGAGAAAATACAATAAACTGTGGTTGTTCTTCCTCAAGGTAGGGGCAGGATGACATCACAGATAAGGACAGACTTAGAGAAGGGAGGAGGAACTTCACAGTAATTCCATGTGGATACTCATCCATCAGGTACAGCAGGCACAGTGCCTCGGGCCCATGAGACTTTCAGCAACCAAGGCAATATTTTAATTTCTTTCAGAATCAGAAGGAAAAAAGCCCCCTGAACATGGAATGTTTTAGTATTTTAGAAAAATATTTTAATTTTTTTTCATATCAGAAAAGGAATTTGTAGGGGCTATGGAAATCTATTAAATTTTGCCAAAAATAGAAAAACACCTCAAAGGATTTAAAATTATACTAGTAATAATTTTTAATATTAATATTCTTACGGAGGGAGTGGCCCATAAGACAAAAGTGCATACGGCTGTGGTGAGGACTGGCCACACACACTGTGTTGGGTGTGGTTTGATTGTGAAGGGGAAGGCTGGGGAAGGAGGCAAGGGCCAGTCTCTGGAGGGTCCCAACTACCAGGCTGAGGAATCTGGACCTTATCCTGGGCACACTGGGGGCTGTTTAAGGGTTTAAACAGAGAGATGTATGGTTAGATTTTCAGTGTTAAGGCAATCCCTTTGCAATCCTTGTCTGTGGGGCTATGGAGGGATTGGTGTGAGACTGGTGTTAGGGAATCCTGAAGGAGACAGTGTGTCTAGGGCAGAGGTGCTAAGGAGGAGATGGAGGCAGAGACCAGAGGATGCAGAATCAATAGCACCTGGTGAGGGCTGATTGGACATGGGGGCAAGAGAGGGAGATGCCAAGGACATCTCAACCAAATGATTAGGATTGTGATCAATAACCCTCATAATCAGCACAGCTCTTGCTTCATAGTATACTTCCTGCAAATTACACTGGCTTCCAAATGTGAGAGGCTGGCCATCCCCACCATGATCCTTCTGTTGTATGGGCTTTGTTGAAGTTGGTCATCTTTTGCTCTACATTATTGCCATCTTCAGGGTCCTGGATGTGCACTCTCACTGTCTGCTCCCAACTTTACTGTAGTAGTTAGGATAATGCTTTCTCCTGTGACAACAACAAAACCCCACCCCCCTACCCCACCAGCCCACATTTCAGTGGCTTAAGGTAATTAGTTCCTTTCTCCCTCACCTAATAACTCAATGTGGGTGTTCCTGGTTGGTAGGTAGCTTCCCAGCAAGTGGTGGATCAAAGAAGGTGTCCCCTTCCGTCTTGTGGATCTGCCAACCTCTCGGTCCTTGGAGTCCTCTTTTTTTAGCCAGAAGATGGGCAAACAAGAGGGTGGGGGAGGCCCACCTGATTCTTACCAGCCTTCATCTGGCAGTGACATCTATCACTTGTAATCACATTCCATCGTGGACACTCATCCCCAGACCCACCTGGACATAAAGGGAGTGGGAAACTTAGTCTCTGTTAGGTGGCTGCTTCCCATGGCAGCTCCATGTTGTAGATGGACAATCATGAACTTTACCACCACAGCCCAGGACTATTCCCAGCCCTAACTGTGAGCACATCGAGGCTATATAACAAGTAACTTTCAAGGCATTCATAGCCCATTCGTCACATCACATTATGAAATGTGATAATAGAGGTACAAAATACATGAAAAACCCCTATTGTACCTAATTAGGTTAAACCATATGGTTTGTAGATCAAAACCAGTCAAAAATTGGCAATTTCATATGATTCAACCCAGTATACTAGAGAAGTGCTTCCAAAAAAGTTTTTGTTAGAACTCTCCATCATACATTTGGGAAAATATTGCAGTGGGAGAGACTATACTTGATAACTCCTCTGGGAGACTTAAATATACTTTAGTCAAGTAAGAGCTCTGAAACATTCTGTATTCAAGAAAATCCCGTGTTGTTTAGTTTCTTTAATTAGCGATTTCCTAAGAAATTGTTGCTTAATCGGTGATTTCCAGGTTAATTTGTGCATATAACTCATTTTTCCCAAATGCCTCTTCAGCTCTCCTTGAATTACTCTTCTATCTTGTGCACTTTGGGAAACTTCATGGAACACTGAGAAAGTCCATTAATGAATCGTTTTATCTAGCAGAAAAAAATAAGGTTTCTCTGCAAAAATCCACGCCAGGCACATTGGTGAAAATGATAACATTTGTTGAGTGCAAGAATGACTTTAAACTAATCACACATCTTTCTGAGCCTTAGGTTTTTCATCTGCAAAATTAACATGACAAATTAAATGAGAAGACCCATTTAAAAGAGCTTAGGAAGAAGTTGCATGTGTGCTAACTTCTTCCTTCCATTAGCATCCCTGAGGTTGAGGAAGGCAGCCTCTTGCCACGTAGAGGACACCTCCTTTCAGCAGCCACATGTGGGATTGCTTTGGGCTTGACGTGCAAACATGTGTAAGCCCAGCTTCTTGAGAGTTCACATGGATATTTGGGTCAGGCAGAGTTATTTTTATACATTCAAAAGAGAAGAAAATAAAGAGCAACATCCTCATGTTGACACGAAATGGCTGCCCTGTGACTCTGGGCTGGAGGTGGGGGGTAGTGCTGGGGGTTGGGGAAGTGACCAAGCCTAAAGGGCCACATGGAACCACTTTTTCGTGGTCTAATCTGGGAGCCAGAACGCTCTGAGCTTGGAATAAAGTCATGGTTCTGGTTAGTGGATTGATTCTCTGGGGCCAGCATGGATTCTGGCAGAGCCTTGGCCCCATCTGTCCTTCTCCTGGCCTGGTCTCCTTCTGGCGGCCTCATCCCCAGGTCTGGCAGAACCCCCAGAACAGATCATTCTCCTGGCCCCCAGCAAAGCTGCTCACTGACTTCCAAACATGTGTGACTAGTTTGGCCATCTGGGCCTGAGGCCTCTCTGCAAGGTGGGCGTTGTTGGGATGGGTCTTCCTTTCCCCTACACACTAGTCATGGCCTCCAGCTGAGTGTACTTACCTGGTTCCCCTGCAAAACCTCCACCTCCAGGGCTCTTTCTAGCACTAAGAGGACACAACAAAGAGAGCTTATTTAAGAATGGGTACTGTGACTGTTTTCAATGTTGCTATGGATCTGATGCCTTTTATAGGTCCTCCTGCTGGCAGACCCATAATGGCCCTCAGAGCCAGAATGACCAGGTTTGAATCTTGGCATGGTCATTTGTGAGCCATGTAACCTCGGACAGATACTGTAATCTATTTGGACCTCAGTTTCTTCTTTATATTGGGGATAATTACTGTTGTTTCATCCATCAAACTATCACACATTCATTGAGGACATTTTTCTACATGTCTGGCATTGGTGACACAAAGATAAACTGTAACTTGTCCCTGTCTCAAGCAGATGATATTCTGAATGTGAAATTGCCAAGCCCATGGCTAGGGACCCAGAACCCAGCGAGGTGTAAATAACTGAAGCTTTAAAATCTGACCCTCCGCCTGAATATTCCAGCTCTGATACTGAACTGCTGTGTGATGTTGGGCAAGATCTTTGTGCTTTCTTGTCCTCAGCTCCCTCATCTACTCAGGAGTCTGAGACATGAAAATTGTTTGAACCCGGCAGGTGGAGGTTGCAGTGAGCTGAGATCGCACCACTACGTTCCAGCTTGGGTGACAGTGCAAGACTCTGACTCAAAAAAAAAAAAAAAAAAAGAAATCAAAAGGAAAAATAAATTAGTTGAATTGGTCACTTGAAATCATGTAATGAAGCCAAATGGGTGCCGTGGCACTTACAATTCTATCCTGGATATAATGTATTGAAGATATTTTGAGGAGTCCTGTGTTTTCTTGGGGAAAGGGCCTGAGCTTGACATCTAACAGACTTGTAATCTAATCCCAGCTGTGTTATTTACTGGCTGATTGACTTTGAGCCAGATGCTCAGTGTCTCTGAGCTTCCTTGGCCCATCATTATATTTAGAGAAAAACATGCACTTTGCAGTGTGGTGAGAATGAGAGAGTGCTTAGGTGAAGTCCTGGCTTAGTCATCCCTCACCACTTGGTTCTGTGACCCAGCCGACTGTGAGTCCGTTGGGAGCAGGCTCTGCATCTGGCTTCTTGTTTTCTGTGAGGCCCAGCACAGGATCTGGCAGAGAGCAGATTCTCAGTGAGCATTTATTGAATGAATGAATGAATGAGCAGGTTTCAGCATGATGCGTTGTAACCTGGGCCCCAAAAGGGGCAGTATAATTTCCTTTGTTGCAGGTGGTGTTTAATGGGGAAATGCAAAGAACTTTGGACCCAGATATAGGCTGGACGTATGAGTTGTATAGCATAGACCCTGCTCGTTAGTAACTGTAAGTCTCTGGACAAGTTGTGGCACATCTTGGAGCCTTGACACCTCAACTTCGTCATATGCAAATTGTCTTGCCTAATTTGCTGGGTTCCAAGGAAGTCCAAAGGATTTCCAGCTGCGAAACTACTCTGTAAACTCTAAAGTGCCATCCTCACGTGAAGGGTTGTTGTTGCTGACAGCGTTTGTGAAAGGCCACAAAGCTGTTGACATCTGCTGCTTGGCACTGGCTGGGAAAAATTTCAGAGGGTCCCATACTCATGCATGTGAACTTCTGGGATTTCTCATTCTGGGAACATTATCAAGAGGCACTAGTTGACTCCCTTTGTCCCCAAGGGAGCAAATATGCTTGGCTCACTGTCTCTGCGGACATTAATGAAACATTTGTGACAGCACAGCAAAGTTCCCAGAATATCCTAAAGCATCTTTGTCCAGTGCATCATAGTTAGCACATCATCAGTACACCTGTTATTTCATTTATTTGATCTTCCTAGTGACTTTGGAGGTTGCTGTGGATAGAGGCATTATTTTGATTTTATAGGTAAGAAAGAAAAAACTTGGAGAAGCTAGAAATGTGCAAAAGGACACAGAGGTAGTTAGAAGCAAAGCAACCCATGCTTGCTGACTCTAGTTCTGACACCCTTTCCATTCCTTTCTGTGAGATAAAGCATCTTGATATTACCCAGAAAATAGAACATCCATGTCTGATTTGTCTTGCTATTCCCCATGGCACTTTGTCCTTGCTGGGAACATAATAGGTATTCAATAAATATTAGAACTGTAGACTCAGTGAGTGTAGGTTTTGGACACTCAAACAATGAGCGTAGGTTTTGGATACAGACAGATCTGTATTCAAATTCTGATCAGCTACAGACTAACTGTGTGACCTCGGACAAAGCATGGTACTTCAATGCTTTGATCTTCAAATTCTTCCTTTGTCTAGGAGTGAAGGGTGTACATCCTGCCTGGGGCTGCAGTGAGCATCAGTGGAGAGAGCATCCCTAAGGCATCAAGTACTCAACCTGGAACATGTTAGGCACCTAATAAACATTGGGATTTCTAGCTCACAAAAGCTCTAAAAACTGGCCTTTAAACCCTTTCATTTGAGTGAAATGAATGGAGGGTGATTGTGAGAATTCAATTCTCTTTTACTACTTTCTGCCTCTCTCATTAATCTTTAAAATCATATGCACAAAAAAGATGATGGGACCACATGCCTCTGGTTCACTCATGCTCAGGTTAGCAGGCGTTGTGTGGTCAGGGACCTTAGGCAGGCTTCCTCCTCCATGGCCTTGACTTCCTTGGCCCTGCAGAGGTGGAGGTTCCCTTTTCCCTAATCCAGATGCACTCCTACATTGAATCAAAAACAGGGCACTTACCCAAACTCACCTGGAAAAAAAGAAGATTAAACCTCTACCTCTCATCTGTGCAAAATACACTATATCTCAGGTTGCTGGCAGCTGGGTCCTGACTATGTAAACGGTATGGTCCTCTGTCTCATTTGAGTTTCACAAAGAAATGATTAATATACCCATTTTACAGATGAGAAAACCAAGGCCCAGATAACCATTTAACGAGCTTTTACGACGTGTCAAGTACTATGTTAGGTGTTCTGTTTGCCTTCTCTTTATGGGGAATTTAGAGATGTGGCTATTGAGGCTTAGGGATGTCAAGTAATTTGTTCAAGGTCACACCATTAGTTAGGGTAAAAGTTAAGATGCTCCAACAGAAACCTCAAAATCCCTTTTCTTTTCTTTCTTTTTTTTTTTTTTGAGACAGAGTCTTGCTCTGTCACCCAAGCTGGAGTGCAATGGCGTGATCTTGGCTCACTGCAACCTCTGACTCCTGGGTTTGAGAGATTCTCCTGCCTCAGCCTCCTGAGTAGCTGGGATCACAGGTGTGCGCCACTACGCCTGGCTAGTTTTTGTATTTTTTAGTAGAGACGGGGTTTCACCATATTGGTACTGCTGGCGTTGAACTCCTGACCTTGTGATCCGCCCACCTTGGCCTCCCAAAGTGCTGGGATTACAGGCATGAGCCACCACGCCCGGCCCCTCAAAATCCCATTTCTAAAACAAGATCAATGTGGACAGCACTGTCATGTAACAGTCTACTCTAGAGCCATGTGGATGAAGTAGATTTGATGTGTAACTCTGTCCTATGAGTTACTCAGGTATCCAAGTTCTTACTAGTTTTGCTCTTTCTTTAGACTGTTACCTCCTCCATCTGGTTGAAGGTGTTTCATTAGCACCACATAAGAATTCCAGTCCATAGGAAGGTGGAAGGAGAGGAAGTGGAGGGGAAGCAATTTCCATGTATAGTTTATTGGTAAGAACATAGCCACACCTAGCTGCAAAGGAGTGGGGGATATGTAGTTGCAAGCTGGCAGCCATTTGCCTATCCCAAACTCAGAGAGTGGAAGTGCTGTGTTAAGACATATGTGTGTTAATACACAGTGAGTAGCAGAGCTGGTTTTGAACACAGGTCTGTTTTATTCTTTCCATCACTCCACAGACCTTGGAGAAGAAGGCAGATTCTTTCTTCTGCTACTCTCTAGTATTCCAATTGTCTTGGTCCACATAGTAAGATACCTGCTGATATTAGCATAATAACTGAGCATTTACGATGTGCCAAGCACACAGTGCTTAACCTTAATTGTTTAATTTAGTCTTCAATCAGACTGAAAGTTTTGTGTAAAGATCTCATAGAGGGCCAGTTGATCAGAAGAACTTAGTGACCCCGGGCTTGAGGACAGGATGTTCCTGCTTCTTAGTACTTCCGTGTAAATCCCAGTGCTTAAAAGCTTGGGACTCATTTGTGTTCTTTAAAATAAATCATGACACTTTCAGATGGTGGATTATTATCTACCCATGCAAAGAATGAGGCAGATATTTATGCACTGATATGGAATGATTGCCTAGTGATATTGTTAACCAGAAAAATAAAGGTGCAGAACATTGTAGTGTGCAGCTGATGGGTACACACGACCACTGGTTTCTCTTAGTGAAGAAGACCTCTTGAAAGATAGGCAAATGATTGGTAATATCTTTTGCCTTTCCCATAAAGAGAGCAGATGCTGGGAGAGCAGATGCTGGGAGACCAGGCATAGGAGAAACATACTGCACACATCCTTGTACCTTTTGGATTTTGTACCATGTGAATGTATTTCATATTAAAAAGTAAAAATAAAAACTAGACTTTGAAGTATAGAGATACCTAGATAATCTTAGAAATGTCCCTCAATCTTTGGTTCCCCAGTTTCTTGATTTGTAAAATGGGGAATAAAATATGCATAATAATAACAATTTATATTTCTATATATAAATTACAATTCAGATATGCCTCACATGAGAATCAACTTTGATAATGCCCATGAAGGGCTTACACAATGCAGGACAAATCATTTGTGCACAATAAGTGCTAACTATCATCATTATGGTTTCTTGTTGGAAGGGATAGAGAGTAGAAATTCTGTTTGTTTCAAGGAATAGACCCTTGAACAAGGTTCTGGCATTCTTTTCGGCCCCAGGAAGGCTTGCATACAATGAACCTTCTGCTGAAAGATCTTGGTTCTTCATTTCAGCTGTCTTTGGGACGTTCTTGCCTGGAACTTGCAACAGGCCATTTGCAAGGTGCCCACATACTAAAACTGGAAACTGGGAGAGGATTCCTCAGCTTTGGACAGCATGATCCCTATTGGCATCTGGATGTCTTGTAGCCCATGACCCCTTCTGACATTTGGAGACACCAAGACCTAGACTGATGGATTAGAATAGCTCTCAAAATCATTAGTTCAAGCCCCTCATTTGATGTATGGGGCAAGAGAGGTCCAAGAGTAGCCTAAGTTTGCATAACAAATTTGTTAACAGCACAAGTCTGGAGCCTCTTTCTTAGTCCCAGCTCAGGTTTTTTTCTACATTTCCTAGGGATGCTGTCAGGTTAAACCTATCTCTTTAACCAATACTGAGCTATGTGTTTTATTGGAGTTTTTGCTTATTCATGCTTTGCAAACAGATATTGGGCATCTAGTGTGTATCAGCCCAGTGAAGGGGGCTGGGGTGAAATGGGATGAAAGATGAGTTAGACCTCATCCCTTCTCTGAGGAATGAGCTAAGGGGTGAGGGTAGAGGGTGGGGAGGGGAGTAAGTCCCATTTAAGTGGGAAGAACAAAGTACTGGGAATTCAGAGAAGGAAGAGTTTACATGAGGACAGGAGAATCAGAGGGTGCTGTATGTTCATCCATTGTCACTCATTCATTCATTCATTCCAGAACATTCTCTGCAAGAGGGAAGGATATATATGTATTTCGACTACTCCCTGCCAGGTAAACTGGTTCAAGTTTTCACATAACATGATCTAATATAAGATAATAAAGAGGCAACTTAGCAGAGTGGAAAGATGATAAACTTGATTGTCAGACAAAACTGGGTTTAACTCCTCATACCACCATCTTTTTAGCTTTGGGACTTGGGGAAAATTCAGTTAACTTCTCTGAGCCTGCTTCCTTATCTGTCAAATGGGGGTTAATTATCAAAGAATTGTCCAAGGGTTGAAAGGGATGATGTTTGTAAAACCATTCCACATGTGGCTTGGCACAGAGGAGCCTCTAAATAAAAATGCTGGCTTCCTTCCCTTCCTGTATCCTTGGAACTATTTTTTTTAAGAGACAAATTATTGCCTATCATAACTTTTAGAATTGGACTGTATTTTCTGAAAAGGGAACACTAATCTAGTACAACATTCTTGAAACTCTGCTTACCTAATCTCTCAGGATCAAAGGGTAGGATGGCCTCTTTCCCCTCCATTTTATCAAAGATATCCCATTGCTAGCTGGACTTAATCTGTAAGATTGCATCAAAGAAAACCCTGCTTTGGGAAATATGACGGCCCTTCTCTTGGGACTTGGGCTTCCATTTTCTGTGGAGCCAGAAGGCCAGAGCTCCAGGGATGCCACAGAAGATCATGCCAGGTTGACCTTGGGCCCTGAAGGCCTGTCCTATGCAGGGTTCCCATCTAGGACATTGTTTGGGGCTGAATTGTGTTCCTCAAAAAATATATCGAAGTTCCAATCTCAGGTACCTCAGGATGTGACCTTATTTAGAAGTAGTGTCATTGCGGAGGTGTTAGTTAAGATGAGGTCATACTGGAGTAGGGTGGGCCCTTAATCCAGTGTAGGGTTTTTATAAAAAGACCCATGGAGACACAGCCACAGAGGGAGAAGGCCATGAGACACAGTGGCAGAGACTGGAGCACTGCGGCTAGAAGCCAGGGAAGACCAGGGATTGCTGGCCACCACCAGAAGCTAGGAAGGGGCAAAGATGTATTCTCTCCTACAGGTTTCAGAGGGAACATGGTGCTGTAGACACCCTGATTTTAGACTTCTAGCCTCTAGGACTGTGAGACAATACATTTCTCTTGTTTCAAGTCCCCCAGTTTGTGGTGCTTTGTGATAGCAGCCCTAGAACTGAGTAGATATTTAATCTCCATTGTGAAAGTGAAGAAATTGAAGCTCCCAAACGTCCTCATTTCTACAGCACCAACAATTTAGTATAAGACAGTAGAGGCAGAGAGTTTATCGAAGGAATGTGCAAATGAATGTCTGTGGCTCAGGGAAGTGGTGTGAATTGCACAAGGTCACATGGGTAGTTGGAGGCACAGTCAGCTATAGGAACTGTGTCTGGATGCCCAGCTAGCTGTTTGCTCCATTAGGACAATAATAATAGCGACCATTTATTTTCCTGGTTAAGAGCCTGGGCTTTGGAGTGTAAGCCAAGGCTTACATTCTTCATTTGTGGCTTTTTGTCTAGTCCAATAAAGAAGGCTTCAATAAATGTCAGCTGTCATTCTTGGTATTTTACTATTACCAAATTCTTATATATGAAGTGGCTTACATACATTATTTCATTTAATTCCCATGATAGCCCTTGGGGCAACTATTATTATTACAGTTTTGCAAATGAGGAGTCTGAGGCTCAGAGAGGCTCAAAAATTGCCCAAATCATCCAAACGGCAACAATGGTAGGGGCAGCCTACAGACCCGCCATGCAGCTTTGAGTGGCCTTCAGGCCTTCTTTCCAGCTCTTTTTGTTTGTTTGTTTTTTTGAGATGGGGGTCTTGCTCCGTTCCTCAGCCAGGAGTGCAGTGGCACGATATTGACTCACTGCAACCTCTACCTTCTGGGTTCAAGTGATTTTTGTGCCTCAGCTTCCTGAGTAGCTAGGATTACAGGCACGCGCCACCACACCCAGCTAATTTTTTTGTATTTTTAGTAGAGATGGGGTTTTGCCATGTTGGCCAGGCTGGTCTCAAACTTCTGGCCTCAAGTAACCCACCTGTCTTGGCCTCCCACAGTGCTGGGATTACCGGTGTGACCTTTCCAGCTCTTTTTAATATGTGCAATGCAAAAGGATTTTTAGCCTTGAGATGTATAGAACTCCCATAAATCACTAAGAAAGACACAACTAGCCCCAAGGAAAACTCAGCCAAGGGTGTTAAACATACAGTTCACAGATATCCAATGAAAATGAAAAGATGGCCAAGCTCGGTGGCTCATGCCTGTAATCTCAGAACTTTGGGAGGCCAGGGCAGGAGGACAGCTTGAGCCTAGGAATCTGAGACCAGCCTGGGCAATATACTGAGAACTTTTCTCTACAAAAAATTTTTAAAAATCAAAAATTATCTGAGTGTGGTGTCATGTGCTTGTAGTCCCAGTCACTCAGGAGGCTTAGGTAAGAGGATTGTTTGAGCCTGGGGAGCAGAGGCTCCAGTGAGCTGAGATTATGCCACTGCACTCCAGCCTGGGCAACAGAGAGAGATTCTGTCTGAAAAAAGAAAAGAAAAGAAAAAAAAGAAAGAAAAGATGCTCAGCCTTATTAGTAATTGAAGAAATGCAAATTAAAACTATGATGAGATGCCATTTCATATCCCCAGGATAAAACTGGTAAACATTTAAAAATCTGACAATAAGTAGTAACAAGAATATGGAGTCATAGGAATTCTCATACACTGCTACAGGAGTTTAAATTGGTAAAATCACTTTGGAGAGAACTTTGGCAATAGCTACTGCAATGGACTGAATGTCTGTGTCCCCTTCCAAATTCATGTGTTGAAATCTAATCCTCAGTATGGTGGTATTTGGAGCCTTTGGGAGGTGATTAGGTCATGAGGGTAGAGCCTTCATGATTGGGATTAGTGTCCTTATAAAAGAAGCCAGAAACCTAACTGGCTCTCTTTCCATCATGTGAGGACACAAGGAGAAGCTGGCAATCTGTAACCTATAAGAGAGCCCTCGCTAGAACCTGATCTTGCTGGCACCCTGACCTTGGACTTCCAGCCTCCAGAATGTGAGGAATAAATATTTGTTGTTTAAGCTACCCAATGGTAAGTTGTTACAGCAGTCCTAACAAAGACAGCTAGTGAAGTTGAAGATGTATAGATCTTATCACCAGGGACCTCACTCTTAGGTACATTTCTCAGAGAAATCTTGCATACATGCATAGAGAAATAGAGAAAAATAGCAGCCTTGTTTATAATAGAAAGACATTGGAAATAAGCTATTTTTTATTTTTAGAGACAGGGGTCTCACTATGTTGTCCAGGCTGGACTTGAACTCCTGGGGTAAAGTGATCCTCCTGCCTTGGCCTCCTAAGTACCTGGGACTCCATGTGCACACCACCATGACTGGTTTGAAAATAACCTAAATGTTCATCCCTATGAGAATGGCTAAAATAAATTGTGTATTTCTGTATTCATGATACTATACATCATTAGAATGAATGAAATTCGATTGCATATATCAATTGGGTAAGTCTCAAAAACTATGTTGAGTGAAGGAAGCAAGTCATTAGGAGAATCAAGGCTTGGTTTGAAAATAACCTAAATGTTCATCCCTATGAGAATGGCTAAAATAAATTGTGTATTTCTGTATTCATGATACTATACATCATTAGAATGAATGAAATTCGATTGCATATATCAATTGGGTAAGTCTCAAAAACTATGTTGAGTGAAGGAAGCAAGTCATTAGGAGAATCAAGGCTATTTGCTAAAGTTTAAAAACCCACAAAAGTAGTATTACTGTTTTATAAATACATATGTGATAGAAATATAAAAATATGAAAGAGAATGACATAAACTTCAGGACAGTGGTTTCCTCTGGGATGCAGGGAAGGGAATGAGATTAGGGAGGACGACATCAAGTATATCTGTAATATTTTAATCCTTAATACAAGTGAGAGTTATGCAGATGCTTATTATACTGTTGTTGATACTTTTTATATGCCTGAAATAATAATAATGTACTTACATATAATTTCCATATACTCTAAAAATAGAGGAGATAAAGCTTCTCTACAGTCAGAATAATTTGTACTTCCCTAAAGAACCTCTGAGAGACCTGATAAAAGAAAGAAATGCAGGCAGCAGTCCAATGTTTTCAGTATTAATTGGAATTTGGATCTTAATTTGGGTGCAGAGGAAGCCATTAAAAGGTTGTGGCTGAGGAATGATCTCATTTTTGGCTTGCAAGGCCTTTGAAACGCGACTCTGTTTCTCTTAGTCATCCTCATCTGACTGTCCCAGCCTCCCAAGTTTTTCTTCTAGTAACTTCACACTTCTGGTAAGTTCCTAGTTATGCCACTCACAACTCCGTGCAGTTGCTCATGGCTCCCTGTGCTTAGCACTTATTTCTTTCTAGATGATCCACACTCTCCTTTCCAGAGCCAGCTAAGGCAATGCTATCTCTTACCAAGTTTATCTTGTTTCCCTCAGGATGGGTTAGGTTTCCCTCTGAACTCCCAGAGCTCCCTTTAGTATTGATGGCCAATCTTATTTCATCTTTGTCTTTCTGGTCCCCAGCAAAGGGCTGGAGTCAGCATAAGTGCTCAGGAAATGAAAATGTTGTTAGAGCAAGAAAGTATAAATGGAGCATTTGTTCAAGTCCCTTCTAGAACTACTGACTTCTAATAATGGCTCACATGGTCATAAAATAACATCACAGTGGAAATTAGATCCTATAATCCTTCATAAAGCTTGAGTAAAAACCTTGGAAAAGAAAACTCTGAAAAAGGGGTAGGATTGGGTGAAGGATTGGGTGTGAGGTTTGGAGGGAGAACATAGTGATGGGTCCAGACTTAAGAAGCTTCCTGATAGCCACTTAGCAA
Organism: Homo sapiens; assembly: GCF_000001405.40. NCBI lineage: Eukaryota > Metazoa > Chordata > Mammalia > Primates > Hominidae > Homo > Homo sapiens. Next base: position 55,363,347 of record NC_000001.11, read on the forward strand.
GGTGGAGTCTGCATAGACAAGAACCCAAGTCTCTTCATTCCTGGCCAGGGCTCTTTCTTTTGTTCTACTTTCTGTGGCTTGAGAAAACAGCTGCTCTGTATCATCTTCTTAAAATCTCTTCCAGTACTTACAACAGGAAATGACTCTCCAGTTCTTGGGTAGTGAAACTGGGTCAACTATAACAGGTGGCTTGGAAGAACCTATGATAAGAGGCACTAGAGAACAGACAAGCCTCAGGAAAGCAATATTAAACTTAAGCGGGGTCTCAGAAAGGTCTTTGTAGTTGAATCAAGTTAAAACAAGTTTGGTTCCAAGGGTCTGGTGACTCTCCTAAACATACTTACACATCTGGATATTGAACTGAATTCCAATAGAAATCCATCATTGAGGATTATCTAGGGACAAATTTTTGTGCAAAAAAATAAATGATTGAATGATGAATTATCATATAGATGACGTTGACCAGCTGTTCATCATTAAAATACAGAATAAGACAGAGGCCATAAACAAGATAAGGCTTCCATGGCATTAGAAGAAGTGTGGATGGATGTGCTAATTATCTTTGAATCTCAGGGTCAACCTAGGGCCTGGAACATGGTAGGTTTGCACCAAGATTTTCTGACTGAATGGATGAGCTCTGGAGAAATTGCATGACTGGAAACAGCTTCACCAGTCACCTCTTATATTAATGCATCTGGTTTGGAAGAGAGTTGGTGGCAAAATAAAAAAAACAGACTTCCTACAAGAGCTTTTACCATCAGGCTAACCAGAAACACCAAATCCATGTCATCAGCGGGATTAAAACCAAGGGAAGGCTGGGCAGGGTTCTTAATGGTTGAGAATGAGGAGTTTCTGGGTTATGATGGTGGCTTTCCAGTAGTGCTTGATTTAACCACCCTCTCTCTCATCAAAATACTCCCAAATGCAGAATAAGACATAAAGTTGCAACAGCCTGGAAGGAATGACTTTTCATGAATAATTTGGAGGTCTCTGGAAGGGGTTTTGTCTTGCCACAGCATTGATGGAATGGGATTGAGAAATAACCGACACTGACCTCAAAAGTAGAACCACAGCATTGGACTGGAACATCTACACACATACCAGAATGCCTTGCCACCCATTGCCTGGGAACAGCACTCTAGAGCAGGCGGGTTCACTTTCAACTGTTCCTACTGTCCATCTGTGCCTCTCTTTCTGCATCCATTTGCTATTACTCCCAATCTTACGCCATCCTGGGATGCAAAATTGGCAGTGAGAGAGGCACAGGGGGAAAAGCTGAAGAAACATAGTATTCTGGGGAAAAATGCTTAATTGGGTTTAGACATTTGAAATTTTACAAATTTTTCTCTTTGCATATTTTCATATACTATTGCAAATACTAATATTATTTAATGTTCATCTCTAACTACAGAGCAAGAGGGGATTGATATCTGAGTATAATACTGGTAGCTAATGTCCTTATAGCACTCTAGAATTTAAAAATAATTCCACAGATTATTTCAGTCCCCCACCCCACCACTGCCACCATCATTTCCACTACCAACAAACCCATGTTTATTGAGCACTTATCCCCAAGGCTCCTCTGCAGTAAAGGAGAGATGCGGGCCCCTTTCACGTCTTATGATTTGTGGTGATGTATCAAAAAGGGAACAAGTGTCATTAAAACAGGGTGGCAAAATATCATCTACTTTAAATGGTGACAGGTAACAAATTAGCACTTTTAACACCAAAACCACATTCTGTTAATTTGTGTTTCTCAGCATGCAAAAAGTATAACAATTGAAGTAATTTTGGCTAATGTAAAATCTTAGATTTTTTTTTGGTGTAAAATAATATGATTTAAAATTTCAAATCAAACAGTACTATAGCAGTTAAACCAAAATGAAATAAATAGATTATGAGTGAGGCATAGTGATAGTGGTACAACTGTGCTGTTTAAAGGTAATCAGCAGGTTTATAAAAATATTATCTCAAGATGTAGTACAGATGATATAGACAGGTAATCTGACACAAATTTAAGAAATATGGTAAATAATTTCTGCTGCCCTGTCGATGCATTTCTTTGGCTATATGTCACTCCCAGGGCAGAAAGTTCTTCAGATTAGCATTAACTAGCACTGTGGTTTTCTAACAATGTACCGATCTCTTTGGCCCTCTGCTTTCCATCAGTGAAATGGAAGGCTAAGTGTTGGACATCCACATTCATCATCTCAGTGCTCTCCATGGTCATTTCCTTAATTTGGCTGGCCAGGCTAGTGACTCTCTACATCTTTATCTGCAAATATGACAGATTGGACTGGCTAAACTGTGGTGCTCTACCAATTCAGAGCCTATGAGCTCATTTCATAGAAAATACATACTTGAACTGAAAAATACGGCCATCTCATACTGCTGCTGTAACTGCTGCTACTACCACTACTGCCGCTACCACACTTATGCATGCCCTAGTGAGACTAAGCTGTTTAGCCCAGGAAGGCACCCCAACCTCACTGAGGGCAGCGTACCTAGCAATAAGTAGCCCTATGAGGGCTCATCTTACAGCCTCCAAACCCCACTCATAACCTCATGCCTCACCCTATCAAAACCACTAGGAAATAGCTTCTCTGGGATTGGATGCAAAAATTGTGGAATTTCCTCTCCCAAGAATTGTTAGGCAGTTCAACGATTTTGCTAAAGAGGTGCCCACAAAGACTTTGAAAGAGAAGGAAGGTTGTCTTCTGAGGGTTTGACTGTAAATCAAAACCTGTTGGACACAAATATGCAAGAACCACCCTCTGAAAAGTAGACTAATTTTAAGACCAGAAGGCCATCAACATATCTAAAAAAGAAGGTACTAATTGAAAAAGGGTTGGGAAGTCAAAGGACATAAATGAACATGAATTACTGAGGCAGCACTCCTTCAAGCTTGGCTCAAGATAGAGGCATTCCAGATCTAGAAAACCAAGAGGTCATTGTGCTACCCGACCCTGGGAAACAACGGCTGCTGTTTACTGAGCATGGATTCTTTGACAGGACAATGTGAAGTGCCTGTCTTACAATATCCCATTTAATATTCAAAACAGCCCTAGGAGGTAGGTATCACTACTGCTATTTTATAGAAAAGTAAACTGAACTGAGGATCAGGAAGGACACAGCTGCTTATGGTCACACAACTGACGATGCTGGAGCCTGAATCAGACTCAGGTTTTGTGACTCCCAAGGCTCTGCTCTGACTGCTGTGTGCACTGCTGGGCAGTCACAGGGTCACTTGTACTCTCCTTCAGGCCAGTCTCTGAAGGAGATAGACCCAGATGCTTCTTGGTAGAGAGGAGGTGCTATGGACCCAAATTTATATATGGAAGCCCTAACTCTCAGTTTGATGGCATTTGTAGATGGGGACTTTGGGAGGTGAATAGGTTTAGATAAGGTCATGACAGTAGGACCTTCATGATGAGATTAGTGTCCTTATAAGAAGAACCATCAGAGATTCCCCACTCCTACCTCTCTCTCTCTCTCTGCCTCGTGAGGACACAGTGAGAAGGCAGCTGCCTGCATGCTAGGAAGAGAACCTTCATCAAGGAACCACATCAGCAAGCACCTGGATCTTTGACTTCTCCGCCTCTAGAACTGTGGGAAATAAATTTCTCTTGTTTAAGCGCCCCATCTATGGAATTTCATTATGGCAGTGTGAGCAGACTATGACAGTAGGAATCACACTGATCAAGGGCAAGACTGTCTGGTCTTTCAGGGGCTATTTCTCTAGAGGGAAGACTGATGACAGTGAGCATTTGAATTCTACAACTGCTGCTCTCCGTGGTTCCAATCCTCTGCTCATCAAACATCATCCAGGAGGTCAGCCAGAGTGGGAGCATAGAGGTTTCAGGTTCCCTCAGGAGTTCCATTTCCATTGTCAATATGTTTAAGGGCATCAGGGTTTACACATCATGGGCTTGATTAGCCTAGGTCCTTCGCCACATATTGGTACATTCACCCCAGGAGTGGAAGTCCCTGTGTGTGGCCTTCTGAACTGGTCATGCTGCCTTCCCTGTTAGTGTTCTGACTGCTTTTAAAAAGTGGGAGGGGCCCGCTTGCCCTCCACTCTGTTCTGCAGCTACTCAACTGCCCTCCTCCCGTCCACCATGGCCCTGCCGCACTCAGGCTACATCACCTCCTGGATCACCGCTGCCTTCCAACTGGGCCTTGCCATGGCAGCCTCCAACAGGACTAGCTTCTGGCGGGCCCACGTGGACATGGGACTTCCAGATCCTATCCTGGGAGTCACCAAAGCCTTTAAGAGAGACATTGATAGCAAAAAGGTGAATCTGGTAATTGGTGCCAACCAGGACAACAACAGAAAGCTTTATCTGCTGTCTAACATCTGCAAGGCAGAGGCCCAGACTGCCACAAAAAATTTGGACAAGGAATACCTGCTCATTGGGGTACTGGCTGAATTTTGCAAGACATCTGCAGGACTAGCCCTGGGTAAGAACAGCGAAGTGTTGAAAAGCGACTGGTTTGTCACTGTGCAGGCTATTTCTCGAACTGGGGCCTTAAGGATCAGAACCAGTTTTCTGTAAAGAGTTTTAAAGTTCAGCTGAGATGTCTTTCTGCCCAAACCATCCTAGGGAAATCACACACTTCAGGGATGCTGGCACACAGCTACAAGCTTATCAGTACTATGACCCCAAGACTTGTGGTTCTGACTTCACAGGCACTATGGAGGACATTTCAAAAATACCAGCGCAAAGTGTTCTTCTCCTGCATGCCTGGGCCCATAATCTCATGGAAGAGGACCCTTGTCCAGAGCAGTGGAAGGAAATAGCAATGGGGTGAAGAAAAAGAATCTCTACATTATTTGACATGGCCTATCAAGGCTTTGCCAGAGGTGACGGTAACAAGGATGCCGGGGCTGTGTACCACTTCATCAAACAGGGCATTAACATTTGTCTCTGCCAATCATATGCCAAAACATGGGCTTATGGAGAGCGTGTGGGAGACTTTACTATAATCTGCAAAGATGTGGCTGAAGTCAAAAGTGTGGAGTCACAGTTGAAAATCTTGATCCATCCCACGTATTGTGACTCTCCTCTCAATGAGGCCTGGATTGCCTCTACCATTCTGAACACTCCGGATTTGTAAAAACAGTGGTTGCAAGAAGTGAAAATATGGCCGACTGCATCATTAGCATGTGGACTCAGCTGGTTTTCAACCTCAAGAGGAGAACTCCCACAATCCTCCTCTGAAGAAGGAGGATTCCTCCCACAACTGGCAACATATCACTGAGCAAGTTGGCAAGTTTTGTTTCACAGGGCTAAAGCCTGAACAGATGGACTGGCTGACCAAGGAGTTCTCCATCTAGATGACAAAGGATGGCCACATCTCTGTGGCAGGGGTCACTTCTGGCAACGTGGGCTACCTTGCCTATGCTATTTACCAGGTCACCAAGTAATATCCCTGGTGTGAGGGAACAGAGACAACCTTTCTGTTTTCAGCCTCTGCTCTTGTGAGCTTTGCACAGAGGATGAGGGAGGGTGGATGGTGGTAAATGGATCATTTCTTTCAACCATAATGTATGACTCTCAGTGACTGTGATTCTCAGAAAAGAACATGTAGTGACACAGGGCAGAGGCACTCATGACTGGCGTCTGGAACTTTGTGGCTCTAAATCAAAGTCTTCTTTATCCTTTTATGGCCAACTTTTCTGAAAGAGTTTACATGTGCAAGAAAGTCATAGCGCCAAAAAAACCCTGCCAATCATGCCCTTGCAATATTTCAGATGATTTAACTGAAGTGTCGTATGGTGTCAGGGGTTCCTCATGAGAAACGGTACTCATTAGAGGCTTTGAGAGCAGACCTAGTTCTGGCATTAATAGTCAGCCTCATGTTTGTCCTCCCGTGATGGAGCAACCTTATCAATATACCGTATTGCAGAAACTGTGTTTTATGAAAATTAATGAGCCACTGCAGCAAGGAAAATAAAAGATGCTGTTTCCTGTCTTATTTAAGTAAAAGAGAAGGCCATCTCTTCTCTCTTATCATTGCTCTTCTTTTCCTTATGCACAAATACTTTTATCTAACCTAGTTGTTCATCTCATTCTACTGCTTGTTTGATAATAACCCCATTTCTATTGGGATTTATTTAAGAACAAAGAACATAAGTTTCTGCTCATGCCATACTCTCAACTTTCTTGCCAAATAATAGTGGAGAGTAGGCAACTGCATTTTATTTCCGCATCTTCTTCATCGATTTTGTAGTTGTCTCCTGTTGGGTTGTTGCCTCTACCCAGTGAGACCTCTTATCTTCACTGAATGTGGTTGTACAGTCACTCATCTCACACCATGAGTCAGGCGGTGCAGGATAGTGCCAGGAAAGAGGATATTCTGGGCTTTGTGTGCTGCCGGCTGGACTCAGGCTTCACCCTTTGGAAAGACAGCCACCGTCTGCTCTAATCATATAGACTTATTGCAGCTTAGTTTCTCTGTTACAATAAAATTACTGTAGAACCCCCACCCGTCCAAAAGTGTGAGAACCCTGCTGTACTCACTGTTTAGTTACCATTCCAGTGCTCTCTAGACTTCCGTAGCTATGCCTCCAAGGCAGATGACACTCCAGCCAGTGATGATGGGGCTGGCAATGATGACAAAAGGTAGTTTTTATTGAGTCTTTTGTATGTGGCAATTCAATTCATTTTAAACAAAGCCAAGACTAACAAGTCTGGAGACCACAGGAAAGGTCTGCAGAAGATGATGTGCAATCATCCAAATTTTCAAGAATGGATAAGATGTTTACCTTATAGAAAAAGAGGGAAAAAATCCAGGCATAGAGAAGAGTCTAGACAAAGGTTTGGAGGTTGGATCTGGCAAAGTATATTCTGAGAACTCAGTTTGGCATGCATGGCTGAGGCAAATGGAGCATCAGCTTTGGTGACAGGAGGGAACAGACAATTGCTTTTGCTGGGAAGGTAATGGATGAGGTGCTCATGGAGACAGCCAGTAAGGTGCAGGGTGTGGCAGAAGCATTATTTTCCCATATTCTTCAGTACTATCAGATGCTTTCTGAGCACCTACTCTCCTGCTGATGTTGTTGTGGCTTGATTCTCTTGTGGGATCAGGCAATGGACGAGCTAAGTGTAACTGTCCTTCAATTAAAGCAAGAAAACCCTACTCTGGACACTGGGTTAAAGTGAATCCTCTGCTGTTCAAATTACAGGAAAAGAAGAGATGATGTGGTGTGAAAAGGGGAAAGGTGAGAGAAGTGAGATTGATTGAGTGTCAGTATGAGCTGAGCCCCATGATAGACACATCATCCACAGAGTGTCATTTGATTTTAAGAGCCCCAGCAGGTTTGCACTAGTATTTGTAGATGAGAAGGTTCAGAGAATTTCCACCCAAGGGAGGAAGTGGTGGCAACTGGATTTGAACCTAAGTTTGTGTCGCCCAATTGTCTCCAGCTATTTGACTCTTTAGGAGGTCTCAGTTGACATTCCTCTTTGGTAAAAAATGTGCTGTGTGGATGCAAGTGAGTCATTTACACTCTCAAAGCCTCAGTTTCTAGACCTATACATCTGTTTCCTTAGAGGTTCACTCTTATTCTTCTCCTTGGATTCTTACAGAAATCAAATTTTCCTGTCTCATGACAATCCTTCAAAAATATGAAAATAGTATGCTTTCTCTGAATTTTCTCATTTTCAGGCTAAAAATTCTTGCTTCTTTCAGTTGCTTTTCCTCCTTGCTTTTTGATTCTTTGCTGTTAATATATGGTTGCCCCCAAAGCTGGTGCTATCTTAGGTTGTACTAAAAGAAGTATAGTGCCTGAATTAGAGGAGAGGAACATTCTCCTCAGGTCAGAGCACCTCTGAATCAAGGATTCAGCTCTGAGGCCATGAAGCATGAGGGAGCCAGATGAATGAGTATGCATTAGAGAAGAATCTTCCATGGAACTGGTCTTGTTGACAAGGAAAGTGGAAGTAAAACGGACCTTTCTTTATTCCTTTAATGCCAACACAGGAAGCTTTCTTCAGAGTCCCCCTCAAGACTATGTTCTGAGGGCGCGGTGGCTCACACCTGTAATCCCAGCACATTGGGAGGCTGAGGCAGATGGATCCCTTGAGCTCAGGAGTTTGAGACCAGCCTGGGCAACATGGCAAAACCCCCTCTCTACAAAAAATACAAAAATTAGTCAGGTGTGGTGGCATGCATCTATAATCCCAGCTACTTGGGAGGCTGAGGTGGGAGGATGGCTTGAGCCCAGGAGGTGGAGGTTGCAGTGAGCAAAATTACACCACTGCACTGTAGCCTGGGCGACAGAGCCAGACCCTGTCTCAAAAACAAACAAACAAACAAACAAAAAACTGTGTTCTGACAGAGCACATGAAATCTCACACTGAGATTCTGAGCAGCATCAAGGCTATACAGGAATACAGCTAAGGGGCTGGGGTACTAAGTGGAGAGGGTCTGAATCCTGACTCATGATGCAGAGCTTTGCATGAGCTATTGTTCAATTTTTGGCAGCAGGTCTTTTAGCTGGACAATAGGTTGATCAAGGCATAGCAAATGACAAGTAGGGGTGTGAACCCGTTTCTATCATTTGCTGGCCATGACCTTATGCAAATTCTTTTCCTTCTCTGTGCCTCTGTCTCCTCATTTGCCAAATGAAAGCATTGGATTAGAATCTGCAAAGGCCAATTAGTTTCATCATATCAACATGTCAATGACTTGGAATATTATATTGAGAAGCATGAGACTATATCTGGGCTCTACAGTAAAGAGCTTTGTGAGGGATTAACAATATTAGTCAGGACAGCAAGTGATATAGTTTGGATATTTGTCTCTGCCCAAATCCCATAGTGAATTGTAATCGCCAATGTTAGAGGTGGGGCCTGGTGGGAGGTTTTTGGATCATGGGGGTGGATCCCTTGTGGCTTGGCGCTGTCTTTCGTGATAGTGAGTTCTCATGAGATCTTGTCATATAAAAGTGTTTGGGCACACCTCTCCCCCGATCCCATTCTCTCTGTCTTGCTCCCGTTTTCGCCATGTGACAGTCCTGCTCCCCCTTTACCTTCCACCATGATTGTAAGTTTCCTAAGGCCTCCCTAGAAACTGAGCAGATGCCAGCAACATGTTTCGTGTAAAGCCTGCAGAACTGTGAGCCAATTAAACTTCTAAATGTTTCATGTTTCTGTGTTCCAAACGTTTTTGGTGTTGGATTTGTTGGATAGGTGAATTTTGAAATTTTTAGTTGAAGTAGAATGAAAAGTGATAGGATTATGGATATAATAGTAATAGATCATGTGGATGTGTCTAGTTGGGGCATTTCAGTGGAAGAATCATAACTTTCAGTCTCTAACTTAAAAGGTTAATGCTAGTTAGCTCTATAGTGATATTATAATATAGACGTTGCTCAATTTTCAAAGCATTTTAGAGGTACCAGTTCAAGAACAATGGGCATGAAGCTGTGATTAGATCTGCAGATTTCTGGGGATTGATTGTAGTAAAGACCTGGCCATGTAGATGTCAACGTTGCTTGGTTTAAAAGTCCTGGGATTGCATCTGGCTTTAGGCCTAATGATACACGGCTCATGAATATAGAACATCTTCTGATGCAATTGATGCGAATTGATATTTCTATGGGGAGGATTACTTGATTATCAACTTCAAGTAGCCACAGTTCTCCTGGTTTTAAGTCTGTTGTAGGAATTACGGACGAATCAAACTTTAGGTCTCCATAATCTGTGTATTCATAGCTGCAGTATCATTGGTGTCCTATAGTTTCGATGGTAAGGGAGGGGTTATAATTTCATCTATTATATATAATATACATAATGATGAAAGAGCAATTAAAATTAAGATAATGGCAGGTAAAATAGTTCATACCATTGTGTTTGTGTGAGTTTTAGTTGTTAATATCAGGGAGATAATGTAAAGTACTAATGAGCTCATTAAAAAAACAATTATTAGGGTGTGGTCATGAAAGTGAAGGAGTTCTGTGATAGGTGACATAGCATCTTGGAAGCCTAATTGAAATGGATATGCCCTGAAGATAGAAAGGGTTCTAACATGTAAATTAACTTTGGCAAAGTTATATGATTATTTTACTATAGTAACTCTTAACCGAGAAAGTCATCGTAGTTACGAAGTTGGCTTAAACCCAGTTTTGGGAGGTTCAATTCCTTCCTTTCTCTTCTAGGCTTTCACATAAACAGGTTCTTCAAATGTGAGATATGGTGGCAGGGAGCTGTAAAGTCATTCTAGGTTTGTAGTTGATAGTTCAACTACTGAAACATCTCGTTTTGAAGCAAAGGCTTCTCAGATTATGAAGATTATTAAGCTTGGCCTCCCAGCTAACTTTAGTAGACAAGTCCTGGAGTGGTTTCTGATTGGCTAGGTTTGGCTATGTTTGGCCTTGCCCATATCCAAGCCAATCACTGTGGCCAGGAGAGAATATTATGATTGGCTAGGTTTGGCTATGTTTGGCCTTGCCCATATCCAAGCCAATCACTGTGGCCAGGAGAGAATATTTTGATTGGCTAGACTCAGGTCACATGCCCTCAATCTTGTGGCTAAGCGGGTAGAAGACTGACTAACAGCCCCACTTAGATTTCATGGAATGGAGCAGTGCATTCTTTCTCTTAAAAGAAAACCAAGGAGTTACGCATGCTCAGCAGAAGGAGTTTGGGAAAGCCTTTTGGGAAGAAACAAACCTGTAGATACATACTAACTCCAGCTACATGAGTGGGTAGCAGGCAATTTGGCATCATACAGCTCACACTTTTATCATCACAGAATTAGATTCAGGCCCTGACAACCCTTAAATTCTATTCTTATGAGTAAAGAGCTCAGAACGAATGGCACTGCACTGAAATTCAAGAGGCCTGCAATTGTCCATTCATTTTGAGTAATATGAATCAAATGAATGGCAAGATTGGCTGTTATTCTTCTCTGCTCTTGGCCTCAGTTTACTCATGAAGGGGTTGATCTTGTCACCAGATGTTCTCTCAAAGTACACTTCCTCTCTGACATCCCCACCCACTCCAGTGCCCTAGAATTTCACCCCAACAGGCCCTGAGCCAAGCTTACGTAGCACCAGCAGGGCTCAGCACTGTCTACCTACCTGGGGAGGCTGTCTCTGAGCTGGCTTGTTGCCTTAGAACTGATAACTAGGGTGCTTGGGGTGAGCTCCTGAACCCCAGCCTGCTCCTATCCTTGCCATGTTGGCCCCATCTCTTGGTTGGGTAACAAACTTGTTTCTCTCCATCTTCACCAAAAGAACAATTAATCCCAAAGATTTGAACTGATAGCATGCTTTTATAACTCACTGAATCTGGTGTCAACGAGGCTCTGGCCCTTCTTCACGTAGCTTTAAGGGGAACCACTTGGAATGCCCACCCCAAAGAAGAAGCACATCCGCAAATAGTACAGAGAAAAGGAATCTTCTGGGCTTTAGTGCCATCCAGGCTGATTTCTTTGTTTCAAGCCCTGCTCTCTCCTTCATCCCATGTAAAAGCATTGTTTGATCAGATTTTTTTCACCATTGCAACCATTCCCCAGTTGCCATTGGCTTCTTTACTGAGCAACATCTGTGCCCTGGCCTCCTCATTCCTCTGAAGAATGCGCTTTTGATGGGTAAACAACAATTGTAGCTTGTTTTCTCTAGTCCCATGGGACTTGGGGTTATTCAAGTTTAGAGATACACAAAGACTTTATAAACACCGGGGATTTATAGCCACGATTGGCTGTGATTGCTTTGTTAGCTCATAGCACATGCTGGGTGTGAGGGCCTGATTCCGGGTTGGGCCAAGGAGCCTGAGCTGCGTCTGCCTCAGACACCTGTAGAAGATGAAGTTCAGCAGGAGAGAGGCAGTTACTCATCCTCCTGGCTCTGCGTCCAGTGACTTCACCGCCAGAAAATCAGCCCTAAGGCCCTTGCCTAGGAGCAGGGCAGGAGAGAAATCGATATTTCAGTCATTGCCGACACTGCCAGCAAAAACAGAAAGGGAAGCGAGGGACGTGGACATTTTCTGAGTACCTAACTTAGAATTTTGTTTCAATTTCACAATGTCCTAGTGAAGCCACTATTATCCCGCTTCTGTCTAAGAGAAGGAAACAGGCCCTATTGTGCAGGAGTGAGGCCCTTTTGTGGACACACATGTGGATTAGTGCTGAGCTCTGCCTATCTCTGGTCCTCTCCCAGTGCTGCACCTAGAACTCAGAGGGCAGGTGACAAGGCACTGGGCTGAAATGAAGAGGCCACGCAGTGTGTCCAGCGAGCCTGGCACTGCTGGCCCTGCTGGCCCTTAAACCCACTGCTCCAATTCTTGGATTCTGGTTATTAGCCCATAAACTGGAGCAATTAGGGATCCTGAGGATCTGGTGGGGTGGGAGAGCAGGGAGACAAAAGGCAAGGGGAGCTGGCAGGGGATGCGTGCCAGGATGCCCGGTGCCCCTCGCCCACTGTGGGAAAACAGGGCTCGTTTCTGGAGCAAACCCAGAGAGGCTTGCTCTTTCTTCTCCACACCAATAGGGGGCAGCAGAGAGCAGTAAGCATCTAGTCTTAGTTCCCCAGAAAAGCTCACTTTTGTTCCATTTCTTCAGTTTGTGATTTGGGCAAAGTCATTCACTTTTCTGGGCCTAAGTTTCTTCATCTAATTGGGGATAATAAACCCTTCACAAGGCTTTTGAGGCAATAATTAATCCCAAAGATTTGAACTGATAGCATGCTTTTATACACTGCACCTGGAGTTAGTGAAGCCCTGGTCCCTTCCTCATGTAGCTTTAAGGTGAACTACTCAGAAGGCCTACCCAAAAGAAGAAGCACATTTGCAAATAGTATAGGGAAAAGGAATCTTCTGGGCTTTAGTCCTGCCCAGGCAGTCTAGGCAGAGATCATGGATTTAAATCACTTTGTACATCAAATATAGGTCCTCTTAAATTTTAAAGCTTCTCAGGTCTGTTGTCTTGTACATAAATTTCCTTTAAATTCTTTCTAGAAGTAAGGAGACTAGGAAAAATCAAATACAAATAAAAATGAAGGCATGATTGTTGTAAAAATTTACCTGATAGTTGTTTTGAGAAAACAAATTTTTTTTAAAAAAAATCTTGGAATTATTAAAAACTTCTTGGAATCATAATTGGAAAGGGAGTGACATTCATTCACTTGAGAAATGCCTACTGATTGTCTCTACATGCAAAAACAGTTCAGACACAAAAAGCTCCTGCCCTCATTGAGCTTCCATTTAAGTGGGAGATGTAGGCCTTGATTGCTTGAATTTAAACATGTGTGCATGAGTGTACCATTAAGTTTGGAGATTCTAGCAGGGGAGTGCAGCTACTCATATATCCTTGACCAAAGCCTGGTCCTCCTCTGCCGGAGATGGTCGTTCTCTTTGACCGAGCACACAGCTTTGGGAGGGACTCACATGGAGCGGTGAGGGAGGAAGGGGACACCCGCCTAGCCAGCCAGGTCAACCAAGTCATCCCTGGCAATCAATGGGGTGACAGATGTCACAGCCAGATCACCCCCTCACATCTGAGTGTACCCTTAAATTATTTAATTTTTTAAGTGTTAATAAGAAAGACTGACCACCCCAAGAATGTAGATAGGGAGACCTAACCCAGAACTGGAGAGTCAAAGAAAGTGATGTTCAAGCTGAAATATGAAAGATGGAAGTGGAAGAGGAAAATATGAAAATATGAAAGAGGCAGTGGAAGAGGAAAAACTGTTCCAGGCAGTGGGCACAGCAGGTGCAGAGGCTCCAAGGAGGGACAGTAATAAGGAAGGGTGTGTCCTGAAATGCCAAGAGTACACCTCACCTAGACATAGACATTGAATAGTCATGACTTTTCTATCTAAATGTGGAAAAATGACCACAGAAATATTGGGTAGATTGAAAGTATAGAATTTTATTTTTAAATATTCATTGCAGATCAAAATTAATATCGTCAACTTTAGGATCATAAAGATGTATTTAGTGTAATTTTCTATGCTCATATGATAATATTTGGCATAAGGATAATGAGTTAGTGGAAACTGATTTTCAAGAAAAATTATTTAAGGACTATACTCTTAAAACGGAGTTTTCCTCTTGAATTTTCCATTCTGCCTCTCCTGACCGTGATCTCATCAGTGGCCCTGATTTGCTTTGTGACCTGGTCCCAGTGTATTTTTCTATATTTGTTTCTCACCACTCTCTCCTTTCACTCTCTCTGTTCTACACAATTAGGCCCCTGCGTGTTTTCCTCAGGCCCTCACCTCCCAGCTCCCATACCCACAGCCTGACCCTTCTCCTGGCTTACTTGTCTGTCTCTCTCTTACCTCCTGAATGCGATCCCAGCCATCCTGCAGGCCCATGAAAAACGCTACCTCCTCCTTCCTGGAACCTAGCATCGTATGCCCAAAGCACACTCCCTGTGGCCACTTATGACAAGGAGCACATGCCTGTCTCACATCAAGGTCATCTCTGTCTGTACCTGTCTCTCATTAGACTGTGAGTCCCTTCAGGGCACAAACCACATTAACTTTGTGCCCCCTTTCAAGACTTAGTACAGTGTGGCTCACACTGTCATGCATGTCACATCTAGTAGGTGCTTAATCCCAATTTATACCTCCCAGGCCAGCTGGGAGGGGCAAATGGGGGCAGCAAAAAGGGCAACTTGCAGGTGAGCAGGAACAGAGGCCCAGGCAAGGCATGGACTGGCATCGGAGAGTGCGTGGAGCCCCCTAAAGATGTCCAGGGATGTGGGGGAAGGCCTTTGACAAGTGGTTGGGAACCTGATAACAGGCAGGTAGAAGCCATCAAGTCAGCAGTGTAACCACTAATCGTACCTCAGGTGAGCCCACAATCGGTGAGACCCAGAGGATATTTGGGTTACATTTGTGTAATAAACTATGTATGCACAAAGAAAAGTTTGGAAAGTAAACATCAAGGCATTAACAATGACTGTCTCTGGGTGGATGGATGAATGTTTTTGATTTTCTTCCTTTTGGTTTCTCTATATTTTCTGATTTTCCTGAAAGGAACATGTGTTGCTCTTATAATAAGAAAAAAAACAATAAAAGTTGTTTTTAAAAAATCAAATTACAGCACACATTTTGCCTGGGGACACGCTTAGGAGAACAGGCATTTTAAACTAAGTGGTCGCCAAAGTACAAAATGTTACAGTTGATCCACACGGATGATTCTCTCCTCTCCCTCCCCATGGCCAGGAATTGGGCAAGCAGATCATATAGGAATTTACCTGTGAAAGTGGATAAGTCCCCTGTAGCGTGCTTGCACAGATGGCCATACCACGGATGCAGCAGTGATTAGCCATGTAAACTCACTTTCTGCAGTTTTACCAGCATCTACCTCTCCAGCTCCTTCCAGGAGGAGTCGCTGTTGCTCTCCTCTCCCTGGATCGGCCCCACTCATTTCCTGAGTCTTACCTGACCAGAATAGGGCATACACGGTGGGCAGGAGGCCAGTATATGTGGCATGGTCCCAGGGCTTGATGTGGAGCGGTAAGGCCAGGGTAGCCAAACGCTCAGGAAGTCTCTGTTTTTAACCATCAACTCCATCACATCATCTGTCATTCGTGGTTTGTCGTATTTATTTCTCCATTTCCTGTTGGAGCTCAAGCCCTACCTTGAATCCCAGTTCGTTTGGCAAGAGTCCTGACAGCCTGCCAAGCTCCTGAAACCCTGTTCATCCTGGAGCATCTTCCTGGTACCCTCTGACCACTGGGGACGGTCCTAAGCTAAATGACCACATCATCTGGGAGTTGGTGCTACCACCTGTTTGACTCAAGTGTCTCTTGCACCCAGATTCTGATGACTGTCCTTGAACCACTAGACTGTGATACTGACATACTGACACCCCAGCCAGACTGACATCCACTAGATTCTCATTTGATTTTGCCACACCACAGGGCAGGGCCTAGTGGAAAGGACACTCCTCGTCTTGGCCCAGAAAGTCTTATGTCACCTGCTTCCTGCTTGCCCCTGAGCTCAGCTGGCAGCACTTTCCCTCTTGTTTCCTGCACTCGAGGGACATTGGTCTTCTTTTTGTTTCTTGAACATGCTAAGCTTGTTTCTACCTCAAAGCCTTTGCACATTCATTTGCTGTTCCTTCTACCTGGAGTTCTCATTCTGTGGGTCTCTTCAGCTGGTGGTTCTTTTCCATCATTAGGTCTCAGTTCAAAATCACCTCCACTTAGAGTCTCTTCCCTGAAAGACTCTGTAACCCTCCCAATCCCCCTTTGCCCTCCTTCCTCACCAAGGCCTGTCAGTGGGCCTGGGAGCCTCCTGTCCTTCCTCTCCACCATCCACTACCAAGGATGCCCCTTCAGTCTCTTAACTAGGGGCTGACAACTTTGTCTGCTCAGATAGTAAATATTTTAGACTTTGTGAGACATATACTATCTCTCTTGCATATTTTCTTTTGTTTGTTTTACAACCCTTTAAACATATAAAAACCATTCTTAGCTTTCACTTCCACACAAAGACAGACCATGGGCAAGATTTGGAATCTAGGCCGCATTTGAACAACCTGGCTCTAGATCGGCTCACCTTATTTTATATGCTTCACAATGTATCACCACCTGGAGTTATCTTGTTCATTTATTAACTTGATATTGTTTGTCTCTCCCATGAAATGGCTGAGAAATGTATGTGTCTTGGATCTCTGGTCTCTGATACAGTGCCTGGCACATAGTAGGCCCATGAAATATTTTTGTTGGATGAATAAATAAATAAATAAATGAATGCACAGGTTTTGGAGGCTAATGAATTTGGGTCAGAATCCGCTCATGCCATTTAATCCCTGTAGAAATTAGGCAAATCACTTAACATTCTAATTTTCAACGTTATCATTGGCAAAATGATAGTAACAAAAGCTCCCTTGCTGGGTTGTTGATATGACAGATTAGGAGGATACCTACAAAGCACCCAGCCAGGAGAAGGCCCTCAATAAATACTAGCTCCCTTCTGCTTTCTTCCTTTGGCACACTTTCTCCAGAAGGGACAGCATCTCTTACTTGTTTATCACCCAGTCCTAAGTCTGCTGCCTCATCCTCCCTTGGTCCAACCTCATCAAGCTCCCAGCATGCTTTGTGGCAGAGCCTCTCCAAGTATGATGAACCTCTTGGAGCAACAAACAGTGTTTACAGCAGAGATTGCTGCATGCAGTTGGGATGGAGGCCATGAGTGTGATTGATGGAAGCTGAGAGCATGAAGCTATCTGGTGGGGATGCAGATCCCCTTGGATTTAGAGAATGGCCTCCGCCCCTCCTTGTCCCTGACCAGGCCTGGCTCTAGCTTTGATTGTAATTCCCCTGACTTTTTGGAGAGAGATGGGAGGAAACAGCACAGCCAATGAAGAGACTTCCAAACTCCCCCCAGGGAAGCTTTTTGCTTCATGAGCTCCAAGGAGCTGGAATAAGATCCTCAAAGTGTGCATGCTGCCCAGCTGTGGCCACGTGGAGGGTCTTGGAGGAAATCTACAATCCCAGAATGTCAGAGCTGAAGGGAGCTGAGAGACCCCGTGAACTCCTCCTCCCTCCTCACTGAGATCTGTCCGTGGGCCATGGAGACTCCTCTCCTTCCTTCCTCTTCATTATTGCCCCAGCCAGCCTTGTTAGCTAGCTCTCTCCTGGTGGGTCTGGTCTAACTGCCACTGTGATGTCCCTTCTAGGCCATTCTTTTTCTGCTCTAGAGTCCCCTCTCTAAGTCTGATCAGGTTAGTCCCTACTGAAAACCCTTGGACGGATCCCATTGCCTCTGGATGAAGTCTAAATCCTTAGTCCGTTTGTGATGTCGTCCACAACCTGGGACCCATCTATCTTTCCCCATGCACTGCCCTCCACTGTCCCACTCTCTTGGGCTTCAAGCACACTTCAGCCTTTGAGCTCTGCTGGATCGAATGCCTCCACTCCTGTAAGATGGCCCTAGACCTTCCCTCCTGCCCTCTTCCAAGGTTGCACAGCACTCTCACTGGTCCTTTAGAGTAGCTCTCTTGACACATGGCTCTAATTCATCTTACCAATAGCTAACATTTATCAGCTGTTGACCATGTGCCCGGCCTTGATCTTCCCTAAGTACCTTAAGGTTTAAGTCATTTGCTCTCAACCACCCTACAATTAGGCAATTATTATTACTATTTTAGAGACAAAGTGAGGGACTACAGTGTAAAGTCACTTGCCCAAAGTCACATGGCTAGTGATTGGGGGAGCTTGGACTTGAACTCAGAGTATAACTCCAGAGCCCACGTCTAGTGCACTGAGGTTGTGAAGATACATCAGACGTGGGTCCTGCCCCATAGGAAATCCCAGTCCGTGAAAGCCAGGGACAAGAGAGATGGTATGACTTAGTTAACATAAAGCCTGGCACAGAGCAGGGCCGTGACTCCTGCTTATTCTTATAAGGAGCACCTGATCAAATATGACTTATGTCCAGACTGCCTGGTCCACACAAGAGTGAAACGGGTCCCAGAGGGGACATAAGTTGCTGCTCCAGGTCATGAGCCATGCTCATGCTGGGGGCCAGGTGCCTTTCTTTCCTTTTCTCAGGGAAATCTGTTCCAGGACTAGATATGGGCCCTGCTTCTGGGAGAGGGGCATGGCATGGGTATTTCCCAAATTTGTACATGCTCAGTCCTTTCAGCCTCCATCGGCTGTACCTGTGGGCCGGCTGCTGCCTGTTCCCAGTTCTCACAAGGATGATTCACAATGTCTGCTGATCAGGTTGGTCTCTGGGGGGACCTCTCTGTAAACTAGCACCCATGTGGAATCCAGAGTTGAAAACGATTTTATGTGTTACAGATTCTATGTGTGTATCCTTTATAATGGATCATATTTGAATCTCCAACATGCAAACCTGATAAGCCCTCCCTCTCAAGAACCTTCAGTGGCTCCCTAGTGCTTTCTGAATTAAGCTCAAATTCATTATCCTGGCTTTCAAAGCCTTTCCCAATCTAAATGCTGCTTATCTTTTCACTGCACCTATAAATATTCTTAACATCACAGTCAACTGGGACTACTTGCTGTAGGGAAGTACTATGGGTAAGGATGTAAGGGACAAATACCTTGCAGTCCCACTCTCTGCATCCTGTCTCAGTCCTGCCTGTTTACCTGCATGATCTTGGGTTCAGTACTCCAAAACCAGAGCTGTGTCCAGCACAACATGCCGCCTCTCTGATCTCCGGTAGGCACCAAAAAGTAGTGGGCGAGTATGCAGAGGGCCCCAGTGCCAGGGTGGTCTGTTGGAGGTAGAGAGAGAAAGAGGGGCACCTTTCACAGCGCTGGGACATATTAGGGCCTTTGAAAATTTATTCCTCTCTACCCGTCTTTCCTCCTACCATGTTTTGAATTCTGTCAAATGAGGGTGGCATTCTGTTTAGGTGACTTACGAGTAAGTGCCAGCTAAGGGTGACCTAGAGACTGTTTAGGTGGAGTTCAAGTTCTGTTTATGAGAGTCCTGAGCTCCATTTAGTAGTTCTTAGGGTATCCTGTCAGAGGACACACTCTTTCTTGCCAGCACAGGCGGCTGAGAGCCCGCAGATGCACAGTCTACCCCACTCGAGCACTGGCCGTGCTTCTGCTGACAGGAAGGCTGGGAGGGGAGGGCTGGGGGCTCCCGGCAGGTATGCTGCTGATCTCTTAGTGAATATAATTTTCACTGGACAGATGTTTTCTGCTGGTGGAAAAAGAAATAATAACTGTGCTGGGACCCCCCACTTTCATGGCTGGAGTGTCGCCAGCACTAAAATAACAGCTCTCTTTCAAGTGTGTACACACATTCTTCCAGCCCGGTCAGTGGCTGTGGGCCACCCTGAGTCCACACAGAAATGTGTGAGAGTGTGTGTGAGTGAGTGTGTGAGAGAGTGGGTGTGAGTGTGCTCGTGTGTGTGTGTGCACGTGTGTTTGTGAGTGTATGCTTGTGTGTGCGTGTGAGTGTGTGTACGTGTATTTGTGTGTGTGAGTGTGCACATGTGTGTTTGTGAGTGTGAGTGTGTGTGCGTCCACACATGTGTGTGCAAATGTGGTGGGATCGAATGTCCAAATCCTGACTGGCTTCAGGCCCACTTCAGAAACGCCTTCTCTTCCAGGAAGCCTCCCCAGACCCCTCAGCTGGAGGCAGTGGTGCTCTTTTAGAGCCTCTGGCTTCCCCCTAGTATTATAGGAGGCCTGGCCAGGAGTGAAGCAAGTAGAGCCTGGAAAAATGGAACTGAATTTGAATCCAGCATCATCATTTAAGAGCTGTATCATCTCAGGTCCCAGTTTCCCTACTTTAGAGTAGGAATAACGATACACACCTGCTAGGGTTAGTCCGAGATATTAGTACAGTAATATATACGTGCCCTGCAGAGAGAATGCCTTTCATCGATGTTAGCTGCCCTCCCTCCAGGACTGTTGCTGGCATTGTGAGGGCAGCACCGAGGATCTTCTCTCATAATCTCTGTCTGTGCTGGCTTCACCACTTCCTTAGGGAAGGCAACGAACATATACGGTTATGTATCGCTTAATGGCAGGAATGTGCTCTGAGCCATGCTTCCTTAGGCAACTTCATGGCAGTGCGAACATCATAGACTGTACTTACACAAAGCTAGATGGTGATGCCTACTACACACCTAGCCTATGTGGTATAGCCTAGTGCTCCTAGGCTACAAACCTGGACAGCATGGTACTGTGCTGAATGCTGTAGGCAGTTATAACACCATGGTAAGCATTTCTGTATCTAAATACAGAAAAGGCACAGTAAAAATACAGTATTGTAATCTTGTGGGACCATTTGTGTATATGCTGTCCATCATTGACCAAAACATCAGTATATGGTGCATGACTGTAAACACCTGAAGAGAATGGTGTTTGCTTGACATACACTAGGGATCAAGAAAGATTTGGTGTCAAAGTGAAAAGTCAACTGATAGACTTGAGAAGCTTTTGGCTTATCAAGCTTAGCAATTGGCTTTATATTCATTCGTTTTTCATTTATATAGTAAATACGTTACTAGTTTGAGTGACTTGAGTGTATTGGTCAATGCAAAAGCCACAGCATGATGGAACTAGTAAGGATTTTAGTGACAGGTCACCTGGTCACTGTGTAGAGAGGGGCAGTGAGTTGCTTAAAGACACGTAGCCATGTAATGGCTAAGCTGGGTTTTGCATTGAGGACTCCTGACTTTCAGATCATTACAGGACAACACTTATCTCCATCAAATGTACAGTTTTGACGGAGGCCATCTCTGGGTGTGACAGTCCCAGCCCTTTCAGTAGCTTTCTGCCTTGGAATGACACTTTTTGGGCTTCCACTCGGTGCCCCCATGACTGATGTAGGAGTGGAAAGTGCGGTGTTTACTTTCGTTCCTCAATTTCCCCTGTGACGGAAGAATAAAGAATTCTTTGGTGCCTGGCAGCCCACACCACCCGGCTCCCCTTGAACATGAAAGAGTGCAGGCAGCCGCTTTCACTTCTAATTTGTCTCAAGTGGAATAATCCAAAAGGTGGATTTCAGGGGTTTCCTGGAGACAGAAATGCTACCTACCCTGTGGCCTGCATCTGAAGGGGAACTTTCATGAAATACAGCTTAGGTATTTGATGTCGCCTGGACAGAATAATGAAACACTTCTTACAGGCAATTTATGAGTCTGAAAAACAGGCAGCTGACTTTCAAAGGCAGACGCCACAGTGCCAGCAGGTTTCTCTCAAGGTCAAGGCAGAGATGAAAACCTGCCTGAGGCTAAGTGGAGGGAGGTTTGCATTTGGGAGGGTGTGAAGGATTTCATTCCAAAGCTGTTGGCACCTTTTGCCACACCCCTCTTCTGCATTATGAGGAAAAGACCACTGGACTTGAAATCACAGGTCTGGAGATGAATTCTGACTCCACCACTTACCAGCTGTGTGACCTTGGGAGGTCACTTGACCTCTCTGAGCACAGGGTTCTCACGATTACAATTAAAGAAACATTCTCACCTCCAATAACTATTATGCATATTAAATGTGAAAGTGCTGGACACATAATAGGAAGGCAAAGTGTTAAACCTGAAATGAATGCAAGTGTTTACCACATATGTATTTTGCCAAGGAGTAAAATAATAAAAATGGTGACTATTTATTGAGGGCCTGCTATGTGCCGCAACTTAGGGAACCTGGGGCCTACTGCTGGCCCCATCAACAACTTGCTGTGGGCTTTGACCAAGTCATGTTTTCTTCTTTCTAGGCTTTGTTTTCCCTATCTAGTAATAAAAGCTGCCATTTACTAAAGACTTTCTACTTGCCAGGAACTGTGAAAATGACTTATGTCTCTCTCCCTCTTTTGCTTCCTACCTCCCTCCCTCTTTCCTTCCTTCTTCTTTCTCTCCCCTCCCCTCCCCTCCCCTCTCCTCCCTCCTTCCTTCCTTCCTTCCTCCCTCCCTCCCTTCCTCCCCTACCTCTCTTTCTTTCTAACATATTGAGTACCTTCTGCTTGCCAAGCACTGTTCTAGTCACTGGGATACAGCAATGAACAAAATGGACAAAATTTGATGCCCCTGCATTTATATCTAGCAAGGGGTACTGGAGATAAACAAAATAAATAAGTAATTTTTATAGTACATTAGAAGGTAATGAGTGCTGTAGAAAAAATAAAGCATGGAAGGAGATAGGGCCTGTATGCAGGAGGTGTGATTTTACATATATGGCCTCACTGAGAGGGGAACAGTAAGCAAAGATGTGAAGGGGGTGAGGGCAAGTGTCTGCATTTGGGGCAAGGCTTTGCAGGGAGTCAGAAGGGCAAGTGCAAAGGCCTTGACTGGGAGTGTGCACAAAGTGCTGGAGAACATCAGGGAGCCCATGGCTGCAGCAGAGGGGAGGGAAGGTGGGCAGAGAGGAAAAGAACTCGGTGGGCCGAATGGGATTGAAACGGGGAGGCTGAGATGGGAAGCTAGTGAAGGTTTTTTTTTTTTTAATTATTATTTTGTTTTTTTTGAGTTAACCAGATTTTTATTTTAGAAAAATCTTCCTATTTTTACCTTTCTCAAGAAGCATTCTTGTTCCTCTCCCAGCAGGAAACTCTGCCTGTGAAACCTTGGCCTGAATTCCACCCTTCACCTTAACTCCTCTCCTCCTCTCTCGTCTCAGGGCTCTTTTCTGCCTTTGAGAATTTTGAACAGATAAGTGATGAGATTGCTCCTTATATTTTAAAAGGATCACTTGATTATGTCACCCAACTCTCTGAGGTGGGTTTTATTATCCCTGATGAAGTAGTTTTTTCTTTCTGTATAGGAAAGGATTGAAACCAAAGGCCAGAATAAAGGTGTCAATTTCTTTTTGGCCAGAAGGCTCCAGTATCCCGACAGCGGTGCTCATTTGTTGGAATGAGCCCTCAGGCAACACAGGACACATCACTCATGAATGTCCATGGTGACCCTTCATAGAAGGGCCATATCCTGCTCAGTCTGTCTCCGGATTTTCTAACTGTACCCTTTCTATGGTCTAATGTGAAAGTTTCCTCCTCGAGATTTTAATAATTTTAAATAGTAGCTTATATGGGATAACACTTCTCAAACCTTGTCCTCAAAATTCTAACACCTCCCAATTATGGTTGAGTAATTACCAAGAAATAAAATGAGACAAATTAAAAAAAAAAAAGGTTTCCTCCTCTAAGAAGACTTTGTGATCCCTTCAGTAGCCTGAACTTCTGCGTTATTTAATCATAATATCCATTATGCAGTTTGCTTCTCAAAAGCAGAAAGTGCTATGTGTTACTGAAAAGTGCCCTGAACTTGGAAATAAGAGACCTAGACTTTTTTCTATCCTCCTCCTCCTCCTCTTCACCATCATCATCAATATTATTATGACGCTTAAAAAAATTATTAAACCCAGATATCATCTGGAATTTCCAACATCCCAAGATAGCAGGTTAAACCACTATTTCATGTTCTGTGGGCATTTAATATCCTCTTTGAGGCTCTGCAAATTCTCAAAGGTGCTGAGGTTTTCACAGTCATCTCTGCTTTTGGTCTCTATGTTAGCATATGCGCTCTGTATTCTGCAATGTCTAGAACTAGGCATGAAACCCACGCCCTTTCTTGAAAGGAAGCACACTTGCACAAAGCTTTCATGAATGTAGGAGGTTTCATTAAACACTTGTCACTCAATGGGATCACACAGCACAAACAGCAAGTATCTTGATATCAATATATCAACTCCACCTTTATTATGTTATTCTGTGTATAATGTCTTAGTCAGCTAGAGCTGCCATAGCAAAGAACCATAGACTGGGTGGCTTAAACAACAGAAAGTTACTTTCTTTTTATTTTTGTAGACTGAGTCTCACTCTGTTGCCAGGCTGGAGTGCAGTGGCATGATCTTGGCTCACTGCAGTCTGCACCTCCTGGGTTCAAGTGATTCTCCTGCCTCAGCCTCCTGAGTAGCTGGGATTATAGGTGCGCACCACCACACCCAGCTAATTTTTTTTTTGTATTTTTAGTGGAGACAGGTTTCACCATGTTGGCCAGGCTGGTCTTGAACTCCTGACCTCCAGTGATCTGCCTGCCTCAGCCTCCCAAAGTGCTGGGATTACAGGCATGAGCCACAGGCCCAGCCAGAAAGCTACTTTCTCACAGTCTGGAGGTCAAGATCAAGGTGCCATCAGGGTTGGTTTCTGGCCAGGTCTCTCTTTCCGTTTGTAGACAGCTGCCCTCTTGCTGGGTCCTCACTTGACCTCTTCTCTGAGAGAGATTTTTGATACCTCTTCCTCTTATTGTTAAGGACATTAATCGTATTCCATTAGGGTCCTCCCCTTATGACCTCATTTAACCTGAATTGTCTCCCTAAAGGCTCTATCTTCAAATACAGCCAGTCACATTAGCAACTCGGGGTTCAGCATATGAATTTTGGGGAAACACAATTCAGTCTGTAATGATAGATAACATATCTTTTTTCTGTCCTTTCACTGTTAACATATTTGTGTTTTGAAATGTAAAGTACATCCCTTTAGACAGAATATTCTTAAATTTTGCTTTTTTATCTAGTTTGTCATTCTCCTTTTTTTTTAAATTTCATTGGGGAGTTTTAGTCTCTTTACATTTAATAAGATTATTAATATGTTTGGGTTTAAGTCTACTACCTTGGTATTTGTTTTCATTCATTTCTTCTGGGTTTTATTCCTTTAATTATCCTTTCCTTTCCTAATTATATATATTTCTGGAGTTCCATTTTATATCCTCAATTAGCTTCCCATCCGTACTTCTTTTTATTACTTTTTACTGGTTGTTCTATGGCTAACAATATGCATCTTTAACTTAACAAATTAAATTTATTTACACTTAATATTATACTGCTTTGTTCTTCTGACTCTTCACACTTTTCATTTCTTAATTCACACCTGACACTTATTTCCCACTTTACAGATGGAATAGCAGTATAATTCTGTTAATCAACATCTCATACTTTATGTTTTTGATGTCATACTTTTTATTTCTGCATAAGTTACAGACTCTGCCTTACAATGTTCTTACTTTTGCTTTAAATGTTCAGTTGTCTTTTAAGAAAATTATGAAAAAAATCTTTTATGTTTAACCTCTTACAAAATTTCTTTTTGTGCTGTTTTTTCTTGCCTTTAGACCAGAGTATCCAGGCAATATTAATGCTTTTCAGCCTAAAAACATCCTTTATCACTTTCTGCAGTGCAGGTTTGCTGACATCAAACTCTCTCAGCTTTAGTTGATTAAAAAAAGTCTTTATTTAATCCTAGAGTTTGAGGAATATTGTTGATCAATATAGAATTGTTTGTTTGATAGATTTTTTTCATTTAGTACTTTAAAATGTTGGTCCATTGTCTTCTTGCCTCCATTGTTTCTGATGAGGAGTCAGCAATAAATCTTTTTTTGAAAATTTAAAAATATTTATTTGTTAATTTGCTAAAAATAACAGTATTAAACCCATTACATGTTAACATTCATTTTTTTATAGAACACAACTGCATTTTCCAAACCAGAAATCATTTAGTGAGAAGGGAGATGTTGTTTTTCATGTCTGAAAATATATGTCTGGTTTAAGAGGAGACAGCTAGATTCTCCTCTCTGTTTCTTTCCCTTTTTCTTTTTTTTTGAGATGGAGTCTCACACTGTCACCCAGGCTGGAGTGCAGTGGTGCGATCTCGGCTCACTGCAACCTTCACCTCCTGGGTTCAAGTGATTCTCCTGCCCCAACCTCCCAAGTAGCTGGGATTACAGGTGCCCACCACCATGCCTGACTAATTTTTTTTAATTTTAGTAAAGATAGGGTTTCACCATGTTGGCCAGGCTGGTCTTGAACTCCTGGGATTACAGGTGTGAGCCACTGCACCCGGCCTCTCCTATCTGTTTCTTCATTCATCCTGCTGCAATGTTTTTGGTCACAGAATTTGAAGAAAATCTGTATAGCAGAAGATATGTAGTTAGAAGGAGAAAGTATTTTAATAGTCTTTGTCACATAATTTTGGATATTATTAGTTACCACACTAAAACTTAAAAAGGGGTAGTGTTTTTAAAGGCTTATTGTTGTTTGAACTTTGCCTATTATCTCAGTGAACTTTACCTATTCTGTTACATTGATAGGTCTGTGTTGCACTTTTTAGAAATATATATCTTTTTTGTATTTCAATAGCTTTTGGGGTACAAGTGGTTTTTGGTTACATGGATGAATTGTACAGTGGTGAAGTCTGAGATTTTAGTGCACCCATCATCCAAGTAGTGTACATTGTACCCAATATGTAGTTTCTTATGCCTTGCCTCCCTTGTGTCTTCCCCCTTCTGAGTCTCTAAAGTCCATTATACCACTCTGTATGCGTTTGCATACCCAGAGTTTAGCTTCCATTTATGAGTGAGAACATATGGTATTTGGTTTTCTATTTCCGAGTTACTTCACTTAGAATAATGGCCTCCAGCTCCATCCAATTTGCTGAAAAAGACATTATTTCATTCTTTTTATGGTCAAGTAGTATGCCATGGTGTATATATACACCACGTTTTCTTTATCCATTCTTTGGTTGATGGGCACTTAGATTGGTTCTATATCTTTGAAATTCTGAATTGTGCTGCAATAAACCTATGCATGCAGGTATCTTTTTGATATAATGACTTCTTTTCCTTTGGGTAGATACCCAGTAGTGAGATTGCTAGATTGAATGGTAGATCTACTTTTAGTTCTTTTAGGAATCTCTATACTGTTTTCCTTAGTGGTTGTACTAATTTACATTCCCACCAGCAGTATAAGCATTCTCCTTTTACCACATTCATGCCAACACAATTTTTTTTGACTTTTTAATAATGACCATTCTTGCAAGGATAAGGTCCTACCTCATTGTGGTTTTAATTGCATTGCCCTGATGATTAGTGATGTTGAGCATTTTTTCATTTGTTTATTTTCCATCTGTATATCTTCTTTTGAGAAATGTTTATTCATGTTATTTGCCCACTTTTGGTGGGATTTTTTTTTTCTGATTTGTTTGAGTTCCTTGTAGATTCTGAATATTAGTCCTTTGTGGAATGAATAGTTTGAAAATATTTCCTCCCAATTCTGTGGGTTGTCTGTTTACCCTGATGATTATTTCTTTTGCTGTACAGAAGCTTTTTAGTTTAATTATGTCCCATTTATTTATTTTTGATTTTGTTAATTTGCTTTTGGCGTCTTAGTCATAAATTCTTTGCCTAGGCCCATGTCCAGAATAGTTTTTCCTAGATTATCTTCCAGAATTTTTATGGTTTCAAGTCTTAGATTTAAGTCTTCAATCCATCTTGAGTTGATTTTTATATAAGGTGAGAGATAGGGATCCAGTTTCGTTCTTCTACATGTAGCTATCCAGTTTTCCCAGCACCATTTATTAAATATGGCATCCTTTCCTCAGTTTATGTTTTTGTGTGCTGTGTCAAAGATCAATTGGTTGTATTTGGCTTTATTTCTGGGTTCTCCATTCAGTTTCATTGGTCTATGTGTCTACATTTATACCAGGACCATGCTGTTTTGGTAACTCTATAGCCTTGTAGTATAAATTGAAGTCAGGTAATGTGATGCTTCCAGATTTGTTCTCTTTGCTTCAGATTGCTTTGGCTATTGGGGCCCTTTTTTGGTTCCATATGAATTTTAGGATTTTTTTCCTATTTCTGTGAAAAATGATGTTGGTATTTTGATAAGAATTGCATTGAATCTGTAGGCATTGCTTTTGGCAGGATGGTCATTTTCATGATATTGATTCTTCTAATCCATGAACATAGGATGTGTTTCCATTTGTTAGTGTCATCTATGATTGCATTCAGCAGTGTTTTGTAGTTTTTTTTTCTTACAGAGATCTTTCACCTCCTTGGTTAAGTATATTTGTAAGTATTTTTTGCAACTAGTGTACAAGGGATTGAGTTCTTGATTTGATTCTCAATTTGGTTGTTGTGGGTATATAGCAGTGCTACTAATGTGTACATTGATTTTGTAACCTGAAACTTACTGAATTTGTTTTTCAAATCTAGGAGTCTTTTGGAGGAGTGTTTAGAGTTTTCTAGGTATATGAAAGGGCATCGTATCATTGGTGAACAGCAATAGTTTGGCTCTTCTTTTCCAATTTGGATAACCTTTACTTTTTTCTCTTGGCTAATTGCTCTGGCTAGGACTTCCAGTACTATGTTGAATAGAAGTGGTGAAAGTGGGCTTCCTTGTCTTGTTCCAGTTCTCAGGAAATGCTTTCAACTTTTCCCCATTCGGTGTGATGTTGACTGTGGGTTTGTAATATGTGGCTTTTATTATTTTGAAATATGTTCCTTTTATGCCTAGTTTGTTGAAGGTTTTTATCATAAATGGATGCTGGATTTTACTGAATGCTTTGTCTGCATCTATTGAGATGGTCATATGGTTTTTGTTTTTAATTCTGTTTATGTGATGAATCACATTTGTTGATTTGTGTATGTATGTTAAACCACCTTGCATCTCTGGGATGAAACCCACTTAATCATGCTATATTATCTTTTTGATATGCTGTTGGATTCAGTTAGTTAGTATTTTGTTGAGGATTTTTGCATCTATGTTCATTAAGGATATTGGTCTGTAGTTTTCTTTTTAATGTCCTTTCCTGGTTTGGATATCAGGGTGATACTGGCTTCATAGAATGAGTTAGAGAGAATTTCCTCTTTCTTACTTTTTTGGAATAGTTTCAATAAGATTGGTACTCATTCTTTGTCTAGTACAATTCAGCTGTGAATCCATTTGGCCCTGGGCTTTTTGATTTGCTAGCATTTTTTTTTTTTGTGTTATTGATTCATTCTCACTGATTGTTACTGATCTGTTCAGGATTTGTATTTCTTCCTGATTTAATCTAGGAGGTTTGTATGTATCCAGGAATTTATCCACTTTCTCTAGATTTTTTAGTTTGTGTGCATAGAGGTATTCATAGTAGTCTTGAATGATCTTTTGTATTTCTGTGATGTTGGTTGTAGTGTCTCCATTTTCATTTTTAACTGAACTTACTTGAATCTTCTCTCTTCTTTTCTTGGTTAATCTAGCTAATCTATCCATTTTCATTTATTTTTTTCAAAGAATCAACTTTTTGTTTCATTGATGTTTTGAATATTTTTGGTCTCAATTTCATTTAGTTCTGCTCTGATCTTTGTTATTTCTTTTTTTTATTTTTAACTTTTATTTTAAGTTCAGGGGTACAAGTGCAGGTTTGTTACACAGGTAAATTTGTGTTGGGGGTTTATTATACAGATTATTTCATCACCCACATATTAAACCTAGTACCCATTAGTTATTTTTCCTGACCCTCTCCCTCCTCCCACCCTTCACCCTCTTAAAGGCCCCATGTATGTTATTCCCCTCCGTGTGTCCATGTGTCCTCATCATTTAGCTCCCATTTATTATTTCTTTTCTTCTGCTAGCTTTGGGTTTGGGTTGTTCTTGTTTCTCTAGTTCCTTGAGGTGTGACATTAGGTTGTCAATTTGCGATCTTTCAGACTTTTTGATGTAGGCATTTAATGCTATAAACTTTCCTCTTAGCACTGCTTTTGCTGTATCTCAGATATTTTGATAACTTGTGTCACTATTATCATTTATTTTAAAGTATTTTAAAATTTCCATCTTGATTTCATTGTTAACCTAAAAATCATCCAGGAGCAGATTGTTTAATTTCCATGTATTTGTATAGTTTTGAGCGTTCCTTTTGTAGTTGATTTTTAGTTTTATTACACCATCTGAGAAGACACTTGATACGATTTCAATTTTTAAAAATTCATTGAGACTTGTTTTGTGGCCTATTACGTAGGCTATCCTGGTGAATGTTCCATGTACTGATGAGAAAAATGTATATCCTGCAGTTCTTGGGTAGAATGTTCTGTAAATACCTGTTAGGTCCATTTGATCTAGAGTATAGTTTAAGTCCATTGTTTTTGTGTTGACTTTATGTCTTGATAATCTGTCTAGCACTTTCGATGGAGTGTTGTTGTCCCTCAATATTATTATATCGCTATCTGTCTCACTTCTTAGGTCTAGTAGTAATTTTTTTTAATGAATCTAGGAGATCCAGAGTTAGGTGCATATATTTTAAGGATTGCAATATATTCTTGTTGGATTGATCCTTTTATCATTATATAATGATCTTCTTTGTCTTTTTTTTTTAACTGTTGTTGCTTTAAGTCTATTTTATCTGATATAAGAATACCCACTCCTATTCCCTTTTGGTTTCCATTTGCATGGAATATCTTTTTCTATCCCTTTACTTTGAATTTATATGAATCATTATATGTTAGACAAGTCTCTTGAAGACAGCAGATATTTGATTTGTAATTTTTTAATCCATTCTGCCAATCTGGATCTTTTAAGTGGAACATTTGGGCCATTTATGGTCAAAGTTAATATTCAGATGTGAGGTAATGTTCTAGTCATCCTGTTGATTGTTACCTAGATACTTTGTTTTCTTCATTGTGTTACTGTTTTATAGGACCTGTGAATTTTATGCTTTCAAGAGGTTCTCTTCTGGTGCATGTGAAGCTTTTGTTCTAAGATTTAGAACTCCTTTTAGCATTTCTTGTAGGGCTGGTCTGGTGGTGACAAAGTCTCTCAGCATTTGTTTGTCTGAAAATGACTTTATTTCTCCTTCATTTATGAAACTTAGTTTTTCTGGATACAGAATTCTTGGTTGAGAGTTATTCTGTCTAAGGAGGCTAAAGATAGAACCCCAATCCTTTCTGGCTGGTAAGGTTTCATTGTTTTCTGTGCAGGCAGTCCCTGACTTATGATGGTTTGACTTATGATCTTTTGACTTTATTTATTTATTTATTTTTGAGTTGGAGTCTTGCTCTGTCGCCCAGACTGGACTGTAGTGGCCTGATCTCTGCTCACTGCAAGCTCTGCCTCTCGGGTTCACGCCATTCTCCTTCCTCTGCCTCCTGAGTGGCTGAGACTATGGACGCCTGCCACCATGCCCGGCTAATTTTTTGTATTTTTAGTAGAGATGGGGTTTCACCGTGCTAGCCAGGATGGTCTCGATCTCCTGACCTCGTGATCCGCCTGCCTCAGCCTTCCCAAAGTGCTGGGATTACAGGCATGAGCCACCGTGCCCGGCCCTTTTGACTTTATAATAGCATGAAAGCGATGTATTCGATAGAAACTGTACTCTAAGTATCCATAGAACCATCTTGTTTTCACTTGCAGTATAGTATTCAATAAATTATACGAGATATTCAACATTTCATTATAAAACGGTTGTTGTGTTGGATGATTTTGCACAACTGCAAGCTAAGGTAAGTGTTCTGAGCATGTTTAAAGTAGGTTAGGCTAAGCTATGATATTCAGTGGGTTAGGTGTATTAAATGTATTTTCAAATTACAATATTTTCAACTTATGATGGGTTTATTGGGACATAACCTCGTCATAAGTCAAGAAGCATCAGTATAAGCATATATTTGTGTTCTGACTGTTTTCAAGACTTGTTCTTGTTTTCATAGTTAGACACTGACATGTCTATGTGTGTTTTTCTTTGTATTTATCTTACTTGGTGTTCACTGAGTATTTTGAATCTATAAATGTATGTCTTTACTAAATATGGAAATGTTTCAGCTATTATTTTTTCCAATGTTTTCTTTCCCATTTTTATTCTCTTCTCCTTCTGGGTCTTCTATTACGTGCATTTTGACCATTTGTCACAGTTTTGAAGATCCTGAGATTTTGTTCATTTTTTTCTCCAATCTTTTTCTTTTGTTTTCTTTAGATTGGCTAATTTCTATTGGTTTATCTTCAAGCTCATTACACTTTTGCCCCCCCAATTTGTGTTAAGTCCATTGAGACTGTCAATTTAAAAAAATTTCATTATTGTGCATTTCAGTCCTAGTTCTTTTTTGTTTTAGTATCTCTGCTTAGATCTCCTATTTGTTCACTTATTAAGAGCATCTTCCCACAATTATTTAAAAATATTTATAACTTTTACTTTAAAGTAATTGTCTGCTATATCCAACATCTAGGTTATCTTGGGATTGGTTTCTTGACTAGAGGTCATGTTTTTCCATTCTTTGCATATCTAGTAATTTTTGATTATACTGAACATTGGTAATATGTTATAGAGATTTTTGATTCTGTTATTTTCCTCTGAAAAAATGTTAACTTTTATTCTAGTGGGCAGTAAGGGGTTCAATTACTGTCTCATCACCTTAAATTTCTGTAGGCTCATATTTATGCTATGATAGGCAGGCTCTGTGGAAAGCCCAATGTCTTTCCCATGCTCCTCTAACTTAATAGGATCAACCTCAAAGTCTGTGTCCCTTGTGAATTTTGTGAAGGCCTGGTTTTAGGCTTTGTTAGGGTAGATCTAAAGCTGTGCTACACAATATGGCAGCCACATGTAGCAATTTAAATTTATATTAAATAAAATAGTTTAAAATAATTTTCTTAGTTGCACTAGTTATATTTCAAGTGCTCAGTAGCCACCTGTTGCTAGTGGTTATCATTTTGGAAAGTACAGATAACATTAATATTATCACAGAAAGTTATATTGAACAGTGCTTATCAAAAGTATGCCTTACTCTAGTGTGTGGTTCTTATTCTTAAATTGTCACCATTTTGGTTTCTCAGTTGGAGCATTGAAATGTGAATAAGATGTCTTTGCTCTGGCTGGACTATATCTCCTCTGTTTTCTAGAACTGTTTAACTTCTAGCATCTCTGTTCTGTTATCTATCCCATTGTAGTTACATTGTGGTAAGCCTGTGTACTCTCATCCTGAGAAGGCATAGCGTAGCTCTCAGTAAAGGACTCCATAGGGCACCCATATACAGGCTTCTGGGGACCCCTGTCTGTGCAGTTCACTCCTCGCTGGTGCCGTGCCCTACAGATTGTAGTCATGTCAGCTGCTCTGAACTCTGGCTTCTGCCTCATCAGCTCTTCAGAACTACTATGCTGTGCTCAGATTCTAGCTCTCTGCTCTGCAGTGAGGGAAACCATTCCCAGAGAGCTGGGGCAATTGTGGGGCTCACCTTGCAAGCTTATCTCCTTTCAGGGATCACGTCATGTGTTGCCTATTGTCCAATGCCAGAAAACTGTTGTCTTCTACATTTTGTTCAGTTTTATGTTTATTCTGTTTTGTTTTAATCGTGGGAGGGATTTCATACCAGTGATTTCATCATATCATGAAGTAGAGCTCCTATTATTTAGCAAACAACTTAAAATCATAAATACAATCTCCTGTTTTTAAAAGCTCCTCTGCTTCTGGATTTTTCTCACTGGAAATTCACCCTGATTAGTGAGTAGCATCACACTATTTTGCTGGCTCCTCTTTCCTTCTCCTCTTTCCTTTGCTTCTCTTTTTTTCCCACTGAGATTCTCCGGGGTTTATTTTCTTCTATCACGCAGAGGACTCAGCTCTCCACACCTTCTCCCCTCAAATCTGTATAATCAAAGTCAATGAAATTCCTAGCAGAACCAAAAAGTCCCTCTCCCATTTAATAGGATCTGTCCTCTTTAGAAGATGGTTGTAGTTATAGATAGCAAGTATTTTTTTCTTCTAATTTTTATTGTTGTTATTGTAGTATTAGCTACCTTATCTCTGTACTTCACACTTAGACCTCCCTCAAATCTATTCACTGCCCATTGGTCAGAATGAACTTTGAAAACTGACCATGTTATTATTCTTGAATGACTTCGTATAGCAGATAAGATCTAATATCCCCAACTGACATAGAAGTCCTTCCATGATCTCTTCCTTTTCATGTCTCCAGCTTCATCTCTTGTTTTTCTGCACTAACCCCCAACACCCTCACATACACATAGCCTCAGCAAAACAAAAGTGTTTGTGGTTTTCAAAACACACCAAGATTTTTCTTTCCTCTATGCTTTTTCTCATGATGTCTCCTCTGTCTAGAATCCCCTCTCCTTCCCCCTAATTTTCCCATCTTTACCTGGCTACTCTGACTCATTCTTCAAGACATGGTTTAAAAATATTTTCCTTTTGAAATGATTCCCTGGGTCTGAACTTCTGCAGCTGGAACAGGTACCTCTTCGAGGTTGCTACTGAGCTTCCTTCTGTCAAATCCCTCGTTGACTAGGAGGGAAGGACTCTGTCCAGTTGGTCTCACCAGTGCTTAGTATAGAGCTTGGCACATAGTGTGTGTTAATTTCTGCATTAATTCAGTCACCCAATAAATGTTTACTGAGTACTTAGCACGTGCAAGGCAGTGATCCAAAATCTCTGTTCTTTGGACATTTATTTTCTTGTGAGACAGGCTGAACACAGGCAAACAGGTATATAATATAATTTAGAAAGTGATAAGTCTTTCTCTAAAGCAAAGTAAAGGCATAGTAAGCAATGGGGATGCTATTTTGGATAGTGTGCCTCTTTGATGAGGTGGCATTTGAGCAGAGACGTGAATAAAGTAAGGGAAGGAGCTATGCAGATACCTGGGGAAGCATCATTCTAGGAGAGACAACAAAGAATCTGAAGTGGGAACTTTCTAGGTGTGCTCAAGGAAGAGCAAGAAGACTGGTATGGCTGGAGCAGAATGAGTGAGGAGGGCAGTGAGACAGGCAGGTCCCAGATCATCAGACTTTCTAGGCTAAGGTAAAGAATTTAGGTTTTTTCCCCTAAGTTGAATGAGAAGCCACTGGGAGGTTTTGAGCAGGGGCATGATGTGATCAGACTGGTGTTTTGAAAGGATCATGCTGGCTTCTCTGCTGAGAACAGACTGGAGGAGCAAGAGAGGGAACTTGGAGACCAGTTAGAAGATAATTGCAGTGCTCACTTTGGCAGCACATATAGTAAAATTGGAATGATACAGAGAAGGTTACCATGGCCCTTGTGCAAACATTTCATGCAAATTCATGAAATGTTCCATATATATATATATATATATATATATATATATATATATATATATATATATATATATATATATATATAAAGAAGGTAATTGCAGTCATCAAGGTGAGAGAACATGGTGGCTTGAACCAGGGTGTTAACTTTGGACTTGGGGAGAACAGCTTACAGTGTATTTGTGGAATAATAAAGGAATTAAATTTCTTTATATTGAGCTCCCCTAGGAGCCTGTAAGTCTTTGGAAGGCAAGGCCTGTGTCTGATTTATCATTATATTCTGAGTACATTATATTGAAATCCTGTTAAATATCAGGAGTACAACATTATCATTTAACCCTCTTTATCTTTCTCATTTTTTAATAGATGAATTGCCAGGCATGGCAGAAATAAAGGGAAGAATGATATAATATCTCATTGTTACCCCCATTTTCCAGATGAGGAAACTGAGGTACAGAGAGGTTAAATCTCTTCATCAAGTTATCAAAAGCCACAACATGGTAGAGTCAGTCTTTTATCTCAGGTCTGTTTGACTCCACAGCCCTGACATTTTCCATTCCATGAGCTAGGCTGGCAGAGAGGGCACTTGGGTGCCATTGTAGGAAAGGTTGGATGTGTGAGCCCTGGTCAGGAGGAGCAAACTCCAGCCATGATGTCAGATGGAGCCTCCTTCAAGAACAAAGTCGTGAGATACTTGCTGGGCAATGACATGCTTTTGGTCAAGCCTCTTCTTCCAGGCCGAGTCTGCAAGCACCTGCGTGGCTGGGAATCTTGGTCTTTCTGATTCATATATGGGAGTTGCATTTTATTTTTCTATTTTTGGAAAATAAAAAGAAAATGTAAGGGAAGAAAAAGCCAAGTCCCAGTTGCCAAGTCTGTTAACGACACACATAATGGCGTGTTAACACAAATGATTATCGAGCTGGACAGCACCCAGCTTTCTGCCAAAACAAACCTTCCTGCTCAGCAGACCTGGGAATGCTTCAGCCAGGACGGGATGGAGTGAGGAGGGTGGACTGCAGTCTTCCCTGGTCTGGAAGCAATTAAATGCCCTAGCTATTGGCATTGCTGAATTCCCCATGGGCTCCAGTGGGGAGGACTGGGCCCCAGGTCTCCTGTATTCTCCACAAGACCTCAGGCAAATCTCCACCTGTTTCTGAATGTGTGTCTCCTCAGGTGGGTTGGATCAGATGATCTCTAAGGTCCATCGGTTTTAACTGGCTATGTTTCTGGGAGGCTTTTGAGGAGCCAGTGGAATAACCAGGTGTTGGACTCCTCATGCATGTAAGAAGGAGGGTTTTTTCTTCAGAGCAGAGCCGGTTGGTAACACCTTTGTGTGAGGGGGCCAGGCAAGGAGCTCTGTGGCCTGTGCACCCCCAGATTGTGCTACCAGCTGAGACCTTGGGTATTACCTAAGCCTCTGTTTTCTCACCTGTAAAATGGTAAATGGCTTCCCTTAAAGGGAAGTTATGAGGACTAAATAAAATACAAGATGTAAGGTTCTTAGCATAGTGCCTGGCACATAGGAAGTGATGAATACGTGTTAGCCTCTTTCCGTCCCTTCTTTTTCATATCCCTTCTTTCTTTCTTCACTTCCTCTCATCTTTCCTTTCCTCCTTTTATTCTTTCTTCACTTTTTTCTTTCTTTTTTCCTAACCTTTATCTTTTCCCTGCTTTCTTCTCCTCCCTTCCAGAAAAAAAATCTGTCTTGTATTATGTGCTATGAATCAATTTATCTGCTTATTGCAGATTACTTGACTGCAGGGACCATGTGTTAGTCATTGTTTTATCCTGTCTCTCTACATGCACAGAGTAGGTGCTCAATAAATGCTTGGGGAATCAATGATTGACTCAATAAATGCTTGGGGAATAAATGCTTGGGTAATCAACTCCCAGGCAGTTCTGCCATCCCTGGTTTCTTGACTCTCTCTTTCCCTCTTTCTTCTGATGGAAAAATAAAAACCGTATCAGCTCACACGCTCAGTTGCTTGCTTACTTTCTTCCTCCCTTCCCCAGGCTATAAAAAACATTATATTCTAAAATGAAACAAAGGTAATGGAAACCAGAAGTCCATGTTTTGTGTGAGATCGAAAACATATGTGAAGAATGAGCATTGAAAATGATGAATCTGCACAAAGGCGTTGGCAGTGTTCCCTCTTTGCCTTTCTGTTCCAGTCAGAAGCAGGAGTGTGCACATCTGCCCCAGCCCACAGGCCAGGACGGCCACAGTTGTCAAGGCAGCGTGCCCGGCATGGCCATGGCCAGAGTGTTCCGTTTAGGTGTCTTTTTGAAGGCACTAGGTGATGTGGGAGTGAGGATCACATAATATTTTTCTGACCTTTGGAAACATGGGAAAAGGATCTCTGTGGTTCAGAAACAGAGGTTCTAATTCTGCTTTGCCCTTAAGATGAGAATAGTCACTATCACTTGTTGGGCCTCTCCTATGAGAAGTATTTTATCTACATTAGGTCAACACTTATATTGCAGGGTCATTCTGAATATTCATTCTTCCCATTTTACAGATGAGGCAACAAAGTCATGTAGCTAGTAACTGAGAATACAGTATTGGTAATACCTATTAAACATTGAGTTCTCATTTATTTGCTTTATGCATTCGTTCAATAGATGTTGACCAAGCATCTGCTATGTGCCAGCCACTGTGGGTTAGTTGGAGATACAATATTGAATAAGATAAGTCTCTGTCCTTATAGTGGGCTGGCAAAGATGTAATGACCTGTTGAATGTTCAAATTCATTGAGTACAATGTAAAAAATTTCCGGGTACCATGAGCCTCTGTGATGCAGGGTACTTGGGTTTGAGGTGTCAGGGAAGCTCTCCTGAGGAGTGATTTCAGGGGGAGACCTGAAACATGAGTAGGTGCTATCTACACAAATTGGGATAGGACTTTCCAGCCAAGAGAAGACATATGAGAAGGGAGGAAAAAGCTTGGTGTGATTAAGGTTAGCAAAAGAAGCTTGAAAGATGAGGTTTATATACTTTATCTCATTTTATCCTTAAAAACCCACAAGAGAAATACTATTATCATCCTTCTTCTACAAATCAGGACACTGGGGCTAGGTTAAGTGGCTTGCCCAAGGTCTCCAGTAGATCGATTCTTCTGCCTATCTTGATTCTGAAACATAGGGCTACATCTGACAAGAACTCTGTGGTCTGGCCTTTTGAAGTGACTGAAAATAGGAAATACGACCAATAACTAGAGATACTTGAATCCAGAAGCTCTGAGCTGTGGGGCCTGAATTACATCAGCATCAGGGGCAGCAGAAACCCAGGTAGCCGTTGAAGAATTTTCTGCCATGGGCCTCTCCTGCCTATAGAAACTGCAAGTTCTTGGGGGTCTTTTATGACAGCATCTTATCATCATTCTTGATATTGTCCTGGTTGTCCCCAGATAACTCAGGGGTCTGGATCTCAAATGGTCTAAGATCCTATGTTATCATGTGCTTAAGACTGCAGCTTCGGCATTGCCTCTGCTAGGAAGCCTTTCTTGAACACTCCAAGCCTGGTTCTGTGTCCTTTCTTTGGTTGGTCTTCCCACATGCACCCACCCTTCCTTACTCCTTGCCCTGCAAGTTCTTCTTTTTCACCCTGAACCACATTGTATTTTGAGTATTCATTCACTTATCTGCCATCCCCATTTGAATCTGAGCTCCTCATGGCCAGAGCTTGGGTCTGAGTCATCACTGTGTTCCATCCCAGCCCAGTGTTCTCTAATGCTGGCCGAGTGAATGATGCATGAACATTCCACTTTCCATCTCCCTTGGAGGGAGAGCAGCTTCCAAAAATTCATGAGCTACGTGGCTGTCATTAGCCCTAAGGGGGTCAAAACTGGAAATGAAATCAGCGATGGGAAACATAAAAGAGAGCTGGTTTCTAGGAGAGAGCCCACCACACCTACTTTAAAGTGGGCATCATTGCCCATGTAGGCTGTTTCAGCCTCAAGAGAGACAGTGGGAAGTTGGAGCTTAGGCTAGAGAACATGAGGCTGGACAGGAAGAGCTGAATTTCCCAAATGGTTTCCATCTGCTCTGATGGTGTCCATACTCTTGAAATGAAATAACATTTAACTGCCTCCTGCCCATGGCATCCATCCCATAAGCATTGCTGAGCACCTACTATGTGCCTTTTATTCTGCTTTATGCTGGGGAAATAGAAAGGAAGCAATGAGTCTCTGGGAGAGACAGGAATGAAAACAGATGCTATGCAAGGTGCTTCATTCTACATAAGAAGAAAGAGGTTTGGAAACACACAGTCAGGAGTGAGTCATTTTGGGAGAGTTGGGGAAGAATTTGTAAAAGAGTTGTCTGGGGAACAGGCCAAGTTGGTTCACTGGGGCAAGGAGATATTCTTGGGAATGGGAGGAGGAGGAAAGAAGGCCAGAGAGACAGGTGTCCCAGCACCTAGACTGAACTGCTGTAGAGTCACAGCCACAGTGTTTGCTGTGTGCCAGACAATGGGTTAGCTGGAGATACAGCAGGCGGGAGATGCTGACCACTGAGGACCTGAGTCAGCACTTTCCATTTCTTCCCATGCTCAGTTTCACCAATAAAACAGGAAGGGGCTTAGTGGCCATCAGAGAATCTGGATAGACATAAGTAAGGAAGCCAAGGCCAGTGGACTGTGCTGGGCTTCCTTTCTATTTCCCAATGTCTGCACAGAGCCACTGGGCTGCCATACTGGGAGTGAGGCCAACCACCAAATGGGAACGAAAGCCAAGAGCCATAGCAGCAATGTCTTCCCTTGGTGCTTGCTGCTTCTGTTTCCTCCAAGTGAGAAGTGATAACATGTTCTCTAAGGAGAGCAGGATAAGGAAAGAGGAAAGGCAAGGCAGGGAGAAGGGCATCATGGGGAAGGGGCTCTGTGTGGCTGCGGTCCATTGTCCTAGCACGGAGAATAAGTGGGGCTGACATCCACACAGCCCTCACTGTTCTTGGCTCCCTGAGAAAGGCCTGTGGGCAGCACCTGGGCTGTAGGAACTGAATCACCAGTTGTGTTCAGGTGCCCGTCTCAGCTCAATGGTCCCCCTACCTTGCCAAATCCTCTCCCTGAGTTGTGTGCTGGGGAGCAGAGGGTCACACTGGATTTGGACTCAGGCTGTATTTTTATTAATTGCCCCATTTGTATTTGGCCCCAAGTTTGGAAGCTGAGGTCGCTGGTTCCCCACTCTGCCCTCAGAGCCACCCAAGGTCCATTTCATTTCTTTGTACTCTATGCTTTGTGTCTGATGCCTACTCAGTAATGTGAGCTAGTTAGGGACCAATGCTATGTCTTATTTATATCTGCACATCCATCTTCCAGCATGGAGTCCTGGAGCTGAGAAACAGACAAACAAATATTTCATTACTGAAAACCTGACAAAGCTGATGACAGTATACCTCAGTGTCCAATGGGGAGGAGCAAGGAGGAACAGCAATCTCATCTTTTCCTGATGGCTTTTCAGTTCTTTCATTTCTTAGCAGGTGTTTTCCCCCTTCAACTTTCTCAATACTCCCCTAAGCTGGCTCCTGGTGAGCTCCTTATTTATTTATTTATAACGAATAGACTTTGTTAGAATAGTTTTAAGTTTACAGAAAACTCGAGCAGAAAGTATGGAGTTCCCATATATACCCCCTCACGACACACACAATTTATCCTGTTATTAGCATCTTGCACCTGTGCATTATACATTTGTTATGAAACATTAGTATTAACTAAAGTCCACAGGTTACATTAAGGTTCACTTTTTGTGTACAGCTCTATGTGTTTTTACAAATGTATAAGGACATGTATCCACTATTACAGAAGAGTTTCACTGCTCTAAAAAATTCTCTGTGCTCCACCTATTTATCTCTCCCTCCCCCAGAACCCCTGGCAACTACCGAATTTTTTTTAATGTCTCTGTGCTTTTGCCTTTTCCAGAGTATCACATAGTTGGAACCATACACTATGTAGCCTTTTCAGACTATCTTCTTTTACTTAGCAGTATGCATTGAATGTTTCTTTATGTCTTTTCATGGCTTGGTAACTTATTTCTTTTTATCCTTGCATAGTATTCCATTATGCAGAGGTACCACAGCTTGTCTATTCATTCAACTATTGAAGGATATCTTGCTTGCTTGCATATTTTAGCAGTTATGAATAGAGTTGCTGTAAACATTTATGTGCAGGTTTTTGTGTGATTATAAATTTTTATCTCATTTGAGTAAATACCTAGGAGCGTAATTCATAGATCATTTAGTAAGACTATATTTAGCTTTGTAAGAAGCTGCCAAATTGTCTAAAAACAGGGTTTTGGATTCTGTCTGACCTGTGTTCAAACCCTGCTTTTCCACTTTCTGGCTTCATGAACTTTGGCAAGCTGCTTACCTCTTTGAGTTTTTTTCAACATCTGTAAAATGGGGCTGTTTATTAGTCTGTTCTCATGCTGCTGTAAGGACCTACCCCGAGACTGGATAATTTATAAAGGAAAGAGGTTTAATTGACTCAGTTCCACAGGGCTAAGGAGGCATCAGGAAACTTACAGTCCTGGTGGAAGGGGAAGCAAACACGTCCTTCTTCACATAGTGACAGCAAGAAGTGCCAAGCCAAAAAGGGGGAAAATCCCTTATAAAACCATCAGATCTCTTGAGAACTCATTCACTATCACGAGACCAGCATGAGGGTAACTGCCCCCATGATTTCATTACCTCCCACCAGGTCCCTCCCACAACACATGGGATTATGAGAACTACAATTCAAGATGAGATTTGGGTGAGGACACAGCCAAACCATATCACAGGCTGATGATAGTACCTGCCTCATAGGATTTGTATTAGTCAGTTCTCACACTGCTAATAAAAGCATACCCGAGACTGGGTAATTTATAAAGGAAAGAGGTTTAATTGGGTAATAGTTCCACATAAATGGGGAGGCCTCACAATCGTAGAGGAAGGTGAAGGAGAAGCAAAGTCACATCTTACATGGTGGCAGGCAAGAGAGTGTGTTCAGGGGAACTCCCTTTTATAAAACCATCAGCTCTCATGAGACTTAGTCACTATCACAAGAACAATATGGGGGAAACTGCCCCCATGATTCAGTTATCTTCACCTGGCCCTGCCATTGACACATGGGGATTATTACAATTCAAGGTGAGATTTGGGTGGGGACACAGCCAAACCATATCAGAGTTGTTATGAGAATCAGATCATATAATGTTCAAAATTAAAGGGCTGAAATGTGGTGTACTGTGTTGAACTGTGTCCTCCAAAAAGGTATGGTCAAGGCCTAGCCCCCATACTTGTGAATGTAAACTTGTTTGGGAAAAAGATCTCACATAAAATCATACTGGATTTAGGGTGTTCCCTAAACCCAATGACTGATATATTTATATGCATATGAAAGGAGGATACACACAGATACAAAAGTGATGGCTACGTGATGAATAAGGCAGAGACTGGGGTGATGCAGCTACAAGCAAAGGAGTGCTGAGGATTGCCAGGATCCAGCAAAAGTTAGGAGAGAGTCATGGAGCAAGTTATCCCTCGGAGCCTCCAGGAGGAACCAGCCTTGCTGACACCTAGATTTCTGGCCTTCTGAACTGTGAAAGAATAAAATGCTGTTGCTTTAAGTCACCCAGTTTGTGGTGATTTGTTAAGTTGGCCCTACAAAACTAATACAGATGACAAGTACTCAGTACATGGTGTGCGTCCACATTATTATCTATGGAGGTTCTCCTTACACTCCAGGCAGAATAGACTCCTTCCTCTTTGAGGTCTCACTGTAGCTCACACTGCTTCTATCCCAGCCCTGACACTCTTTTTGGGAGTTATCTGCCTATATATTCATCTCAGACCTTGCACATTGAATCCTGGAGGGCAGGGCACTTGTCTGACCTGTCTCTGTGCCTGCAGTGCCCAGGGTCTAGCAAAGAGAAGGTGCATAGTAAAGACTGAATGAGGATCTGGTTGTTCTGTCTGTCTGTTGGCACTCAGGTCTCTGTCAAGCTCCTGCTTTGATGGAATACTCCATGATCATAACTGAATGCTAAGCATCTGGTACCCTTCCCCCGCATCTGGCTAAATTAGGTGTGAATGAATAAAAAACATGGATCCCATTTGCTTTCCCTCTGCTTCTTTTTAAGTCATATGCATTTAGAATTAATCAGCCAAGCATGACTGAGAGTTTTGACATACCCAAAATATTGGGGAAAGAATTCAAGATGTTTTGATGATCCTCAATGCAAAGGTGTTTAAGCTGTTGACCCAACCATTTGTTCTATCCAAATTCAAGGAAAGTTTGGATCAACACAGTCTGCCTCAGTTTTCTTATTGAGGGTGGGACATGATGGGGACTCTGATGGTTTGACTCTCCTAGAGGTACTTGGTCCCAGGACTCACACTGCCCAGGCAGCCACCAGTGCCAAATGTGCCAGAATGCTGAGGGTCTCTATGGTGTCAGAGCTCCTGTTCTTGGCTTAGGACTGGGTCCTAAATGCTGCAGTCCTGGGAAAATCTGAGACTGCTCACTGCTCCCAGGGCTTCAGATTGCAGTTCTGGAACTCTGTAACTACAGGTGTGGTGCAGAGACTGTTGCACAGCTAGATTCTGCTGGAAATGAGAGTTAAGAGGTCAAACAGCTTGAAAAATTGATGCAGGTCCGTCTCTTTAAGAAAACAAATGAGTCACTTTGTTCTTACTTTAAAAATGCCTGCTTTTATGTGTGTTTCAAAAATAATTATTTAGAGAGCTAGTTGTAAGGAAAGTAAGCCCTGCTTATAACCTACCTTGCAGAGATACCCATGAATTGTCTCTATTATGGGCACTTTTGGG
The DNA here is from genome assembly GCF_000001405.40 of Homo sapiens. NCBI lineage: Eukaryota > Metazoa > Chordata > Mammalia > Primates > Hominidae > Homo > Homo sapiens. Next base: position 55,407,396 of record NC_000001.11, read on the forward strand.
CATTTTTCTATGTATGTATATGTGCATATTGCATATCAACAATCGTATTGTACTCCAGTCAGTTCCCAGAATGTAAATGATGTGCCCCAAACTGAGTAGAGGGACACTTCAATTACACACATAAACATCTAATTTAAAAAATAAAGTTGGATGTATAATGCCATGCTTTTTGTACTCTGATTCGTCAGCTATTTATTCTTTAGATTGTATGGAAGCTTTCTTGAATGAAGGGGATTCCCCTATTATATGCTCTCATAGTACTCTGTATTCATTACATGATGCCTCATAATGCCAATAGACATTAAACATTTCCATGTATATTTTTTGTCTTTCTTGCTAGACTATTACTTAGGCAAGGGTAGAGCAGTGACTGACTTGAGCCAACACACCACCCATCACCTTTCTCCAATCTTTTATTTGACTCAGACCATGGTCTCTGAGTCCCTGGAGTGGAGGGGAGGCCTGGAACCCTTGACAAAATGGATCTGGCTAATATACACCTATATATCCTTGTGAATATCTGCTCAGTCCTCTCCAAAGGAACCTGATACTATTTCAAACCCAGAAATTGTACCCTAAGAAAAGAGATGGCCAACATTTGGAATTCTATTGGATTCTGGCTCCAAGATAAAACCAAGGATTCAGAACTGCACTGTAGTTCATCATTTAAGACGGGGAGTGAAGAGGACTTCTGCAGGCCAGGAGATAAATGATCTTACTTGAGTTTCTATCACAGAAAGGCAACAGAGCAATAAATCTCCTTATCATTATTACCCCAGTCTGGATGTATAGCTGGAATGGATATCTTTGGCAACTAATAGAACTCCCATACAGTTTTCTGATCCATGGTAAGGTCTACTATGGGGAAAGACTCCAATGAAGCCATTAACATTCACCAGTTATGCAAAAAGAAAAAAAACAAAAGCAATATTGCATTTCCAAGGACAGCTGAGGACACTGTCATGACCATCAAAGACTTGAAAGGCACAGGAGGGAGTCCCTCACCCCTCTACACTTAATTTTTTATTTGTCAGCGTAAAAGGATCCTTGAGATGATAGTGGCTTATTATAAATTTAATTAGGTGGAGACTGTAATTGCAGCTGCCATTTCAGATGTGTTCCCCTTCTGGATATAAGCTACACAGCCCCTGACATTGGATATGCAGCTATTGAGCAGGCAACGAGTGCTTTCTTCTCCATTCTGATCATAGCAAACAGCAGAGGCAAATTGCTTTCATTTGGTAGGGAGAGAAGTAATATATTTGCTGTCCTAATTCAGGGATTTGTAAATTCTCCAGATCTGTGCTATAATCTATTCTACAGGATTTTGATGGACTCACCATCTTACAGGACATCATGCTTGTTGTCCACTAGGATTGATGACATTATGTAGGTAAGACCTGGAAAGAGCAGATTCCCTAGTTGTTTGGCTAGATACATGTGTGCAGAGAGTGAGATATACATACTTTGAAATCAAGTTCTATATAGCTTCAGTGATCTAGAGCAGGGTTGGCAAACTTTTTCTGTAAAAGGCCAAATAGGGAATAATTTTAGCTTTGGATACGTGGTCTCTCCTGCAACTACTCAACTCTGCCGTTATAGTACAAAAGCAGTCATGGACAATATGCAAACCAATGAGCATGGCTGTGTTTTAACAAACTTTTATTTATAAAAACAGGGTGTGGGTTTGATTTGGCTTGAAGACTTTTGTTTGCCAACCCCTGATTTAAAACATGTCAGGGATCTCTTCCAAAAATGACAAAATGGTCTCTCCTGTTATTCCTTCAACCAAGAAGAAAGTATGATATTAAGTGTTGCCTTAGTCAGTTTGGGCTGTTGTAACAAGTTAACGTAGACTGAGTGGCTTAAACAACAAACATTTATTTCTCACAGTTCTGGAGGGTAGAAGGTTGAGATCAGGATGCTACTATGATCAGATTTTGGTGAGGTTCTTTTCTAGGAAGTGGACACCCAACTTCTCCTTGAGTTCTCACATGGTAGAAAGAGGGCTAGATAGCTCTCTTAGGCTTTGTTTACAAGGGCACTTTTCCCATTTATGAGGGCCTCACCCTCATAAATGAAATCACCTTCCAAGACCCCACCTGCTAATACCATTACATGGGGGATAGGTCTTCATGAATTTAGGAATTTTGGGGGAGTACAAACATTTGGTCCATAACAGTGAGTCTCCTAGAAATTTGAAATCAGCTGATGCCATATTTGAGTGTATTGCACTCACCCATTTTCCAGGTGACCTGAAAATTTGGCAGCTTTAAGAGAGGCTCAGATTAAAAGAATCTATAGCTGTTCCAAAAAGCAGTCCAGTTGGCTCCTCACTCAATTTGTTTGAACCACATATACAATAGGGCTTGACATATCTATAGTAAGCTAAGATGCTATATGACTTTAAGGGTGTTTTTCATATAAAAACACCCAACTAATATTCCTATCTTCTTGAGCCTTCTGAATCCTCCATTCTGCTCAGGCAGTTTTGGTACCTCTTCCTCATTTACTGTAGGCCAAATTTGTATCTAAGCTTCAAAGAGCCATCCCAGTTGTTATGGAGGCTTCTCAACTTTTATAGCAAATTTCAAGTTGGTAGTTGGCTAACTGATCTGTCTTTTTTTTTTTCTCTTATGAAGGCTTCTAAAACCATTAACCACAGCTAGCCACATCTGCAATCCTTATAATTACCACCACCCTCATCTCATTCAGTGTCCCCAGACTTCTGCATCTCCTTCCAATCTACCTCAGCCTTAGGACAAGTGATGCGATTGCCTGCCAGGATAATTGCCACCCAACTCCCCACCAACAATGGCCTCCTGATGACCATCTGCCTCGTTCCAGAATTCCACCTGGAAAGTCTGATTTCCAGGATCACTTCTTAGAGCAACTCTCTTAGATTAGCTTCTCCCAGAAAGTAGATCCAGATAAGAGGAGTTTGTGGGCTGGTTGTTGATTTTAGGTTGTGATTCCAGGGAAAATGGGTGGAGGCCTGGGAAGAAAACGGGGAAGGGAAAGCTACTATAAGTTTGCATTATTGAGTGGGTCACTACTGTGGGGAATTAGAATTTTATCCCACTGCGAACCTCTGAGAACTTCAGAATTACCAACCCAAGTGTTGGAAAAGGAAAACATTTGCCCATTGCCTCTATGGGTTGCCCCATGGGTGCTGTTTTCCTCTTATTTCTAGGTTTGCTTATGCCTGACCAAATGGACACCACAATGTCAGAGAAGTCCCAGGGCAAGCCCAAGATAGATAGTTCAACTAAGGTGTCAAACAGCCATCAGGCTAAACCCACAGGCCATTGTCCCAGTAGTAAGTAGAACTGAAGATTCCCTGAGAGGATGTGAGGCAATTACAAGTGATATAAACTCTGTGCATGGACTCTATGGGCTTCTTCACTCAAAGGCTCCTTTCCCTGCTAATGCCCAATTTTCCAGCCTTACTGTACAACTCTAAGTCCCTGGTATGTACAGTATAATAAAAAAGGCAGTAGACATATTATCATGGTAATAATATATTCTCCAGCTGACCTTAAAGGAGAGTGGAATGCCTTATTGAAGATTTAGATATGACAACAGGTGGGAGGTAACTGATTGTAAGTACTGGGCATTGTTTTTCAGACTGTAGTATATGACCATAGATTTTGGAACTAAGTGGCAGAGGTTGTGTGGTGCCTCCTGTGACTGAACCTAATGATCCATGCTCAAAATGTTGCTTCTTGACTTGTGGTTCTATGGTCTGGTGAACCCTAGGAGGTACCCAAGGAAGGAATAATCCCATGGGGGAAACAGTAAGTCTACTGAATTGGAAGTCTTGGTGACTCCCAGGCCACTTCAGGCTCATGGAGCCACGAGGTAAACAAAGGGAAAAAAAAGGTTGGTTGGTGTGGTTGAGCTTGACCATTGAGTGGAGATAGTGTTTGGGCTGCGTGATGGGGCAGAGGAGAATATGAATGGAACTCTGATTATTCCCCAGTCTTGTCTTGTTACCATGCGTTGTTGTAAACATTTACAGGGGACTATTATAACCTTCCAGGAACAGGACCACCAGTGACTGAGAACCTTTGAGAATGAAGTATTCATTCATTTCATTAGACAAGATCCCCAGTAAGTTGTGGTACTGGCAAAAGACCAGGGGAATACATATTGCATAGTGGATAAGTGACCTCATACATGTTAGCTCTGGTTTTGTGTCCATTTGTGGAAGAGTAAACCGTATTCTCTACCTGTATTTTCTTTTTTAAAAACTTTTATTTTAGGTCCAGAGGTACATGTGAAGGTTTATTATATAGGTAAATTTCTGTTGTGGGGGTTTGTTGTACAGACTGTTTCACCACCAAGTTATTAAGCTTGGTACCCAATAGTTATGTTTTCTTCCTCTCTCTACCTGTATTTTCTTCCTTGTTGGAGAAGAAGCCTCTGGGGTTTTGTAGGGTGGAGCTAGAAGTGAAAGCCTCAAGTCTTCTTCTGATTAAAACTTTGATTGGGTCTTCATCTCAAACATGCTCTGCTCCTCAGGCTGGGGATGATATATTCCCAAAACTACATGGTCATATGTTGGAGGACATATGGCTATCTTCTATTCTTCAAAGCTTTGTCTCATACCACTGTTACAATAATTATTTGACAAGCCATCAGGCTGAGACACCTCAGTTCCTACGTCATCATGCTAAAATCCATCTCCATGTAAGCAGTAAAACAAAACTTAAGCTTAATCATCAGTAACTGCCAACTAACCTTTAACTAGAGATTTTGCACTTTAAACAAACAAAAAATTTTTTTGGTCATGCTTCTGTGAATATCTTCACTCTTAGTGGGGTACTGAACCACTTGTGATCTGGTGCTGCCCAATTCATGAATTCCTGAATGCTCAAATAAACTCTTTAACATTTTAATGCGCCCAAGTATATCTTTTAACACCATTGTTTAAAAAAACTAGAGCTGAACATAAGTTGAAGTAGTAAAAACAGATTTTTATTCACTATGGCAAGAAGGGAAAGGAGATCTCAGTATAGAACTGGGCTCAATTCAGAATACAATATGGAAGAGAAGGATTTACAGCCCAGGAGCAGAGTCAGGGTCAGTGGATGGAAAATTACTAAGACAAAACATCAGGGGTAAGGGGGATTCTGGCTAATCCAACTTGGCAAGATTCTTGCTGAAGACAGGCCAGGTGATCAGATAAAAAGGGTGGGGGATGGTGGAGGTTGAGGAATTTGATCAGATGTTGAAGATGATCAGATCTTAAGGGAGGAGGGGATTCTCTCTAAACTGACTTAGCAATCTTGCTGCAAATGGACTATACAAGCACAGTCACTGAAGCCCAGGTTGGAGACCTGGTTTAGAAGAGAACTTAGAGGAACTTAACTAAAGTTTGGTCAAGGAGATAGTCTTTGTCACCACCACCTCCCTTAAAGTCAAGTTAACAGTTTTTAAAAATACTTACTTTATAGTATTTACCACCCTATCTGTCCTTGTTTCTGATGATTGCTTTGTTACTGATGGTCTGTATATTATTTCTTATGTGACTATTTTCCTCACGCGTTGTTAGAGATGAAGGTGAATCCAAGCCCATGGCTATTTCCATAGCACCAAACATACCACCTGGCAGAGAATCTTAAGTATATCTTAATATATTCCTGCTGAATAACTGAATGGATGAATAGGTGAACAGACTGTGGAGACCCTGGACTGTTGAAGATACCAAGCTTCCAGAACTGCTCTCTCTGATGACTGATGTTGGTGATGGGGATTCTGGTCCCATAAACAGCCGCCCCATTTAGATTATTTGCTCTTTATTTTTTCTAAGCCCCAAAGACCTCCAGGCACTATAACCTCTTCACCTGCATGAGATTTGCAAGTCATCAATTCCTGCCCCGTGGTCCATTTCCTTTGTCAAGGGGAGAAAGTGATTCCCTGTAGTCTTCTGAATTTACAAAGAAAAGCTGTCCAGATGTGTCTGGCCTACCTCTCTCTGCTCTCTTTCCCTCACAGCCCCCTCATTTTGCCTCCAAATGAAATTCATTTCTGGCTGAGGGGAGAGAAAAAGGATTAGGGAGTCTATATGCAGCTTCTTTCAAGCTACAGGGGAGGGCAGATGGTTCCAGTCAGTGTTTTCTTTACAGGCAGATTTTGTTCCTTAAGGCAAAATGCAGGCTGGGATACACAGGCTGGCTTACCATTAACCCTTCTGGAGCCAAGTGGCCCTTCCAGGCTGGGTCAGTACAGGCTTCAGAGTCATGATGTGCTCAGGGGTCCAGGATAGAAGTTGTACCAGATCACAGGTTTGGGCTGGCTTAATGTTCCTTATAGGGAAGTATATTCCAAAATGCTATAATTATAGGGGCTCAGTGAGTTTGGCAAATAGTCAGGTAAGGCATTTAAAAGGAATTAGGCTTTAGTTTTACCTTGACAAATGGGGCTCATTAGTTTGGAAGGAGAGGGCAGAGTGGGCATTCTAAGCAAGCAAAATAATGTTATATTATGACAACAATTTGGTAAATTAGTTTAAATCCAGTAAGTATTAGTTGAATACCTAGTGTGTGCCAGACATGTGTATTTATGGATCTGTACTCCATCAGTAGATAAGTTACGTGCAGACAGAAACTGTCTGCATACTGACTAGATTAATAGGGCCTGGTGGTTCAATTATTGATCTCCTACTCCATGCCAGGTCCTTAGCTAGATGGCAGGGATTAGAGACAAAGATGGTTTCTGAAGTTAAGCTCATAGTCTAGCAGTGCTATGGTTTGAATGTCCCCTCCAAAATTCATGTTGAAATTTGATTGCCATATAGAAATATTAAGAGGTAGGACCTTTATTTTAAAAAAAATTCAATAGATTTTTTGGGAATAGGTGTTTGGTTACATGAATAATTTGGTTAAAATAATTACATGAATTGTTTGGTTACATGAATAAGTTCTTTAGTGATGATTTCTGATATTTTGGGACACCCATCCCCTGAGCAGTACACATTGTACTCAATGTGTAGTCTTTTATCCCTCACCCCCACTCCCACCCTTTCTCCTGAGTCCCCAAAGTCCATTGTATCATTCTTATGCCTTTGCCTCCTCATAGCTTAGTTCCCACTTGTGAGTGAGAACATACAATGTTTGGTTTTCCTGAGTTACTTCATTTAGAATAGTGATCTCCAATTCCATCCAGGTTGCTGCAAATGCCATTATTTCATTCCTTTTCATGGCTGAGTAGAATCGTGGTATAGATACTACAATTTCTTTATCCACTCATTGATTGATGGACATTTGGACTGGTTCCATATTTTTACAATTGTGAATTGTGCAGCTATTAACATGCATGTACAAATGTCTTTTTCGTATAATGACTTCTTTTCCTCTGAGTAGATATCCAGTAGTGGGACTGCTGAATCAAATGGTAGTTCTACTTTTAGTACTTTAAGGAATCTCCACATTGTTTTCCATAGAGGTTGTACTAGTTTTCATTCCCACCAGCAGTGTAGAAGTGTTCCCTGTTCACTGCATCCACTCCAACATCTATTATTTTTTGTTTTTTTTTGATTATGGACATTCTTGCAGGAGTAAGATGGTATTACATTGTGGTTTTGATTTGCATCTCCCTAATCATTAGTGATGTTGAGCATTTTTTCATATGTTTGTTGGCCATTTGTATATCTTCTTTTGAGAATTGTCTATTCATGTCCTTAGCCCAATTTTTGATGGGATTTTTTTTTTTTCTTGCTGATTTGTTTGAGTTCCTTGTAGACTCTGGATATTAGTCCTTTGTTTGATCTACAGATGGTGAAGATTTTCTCCCATTTGGTGGGTTGTCTGTTTACGCTGCTGATTGTTTCTTTTGCTGTGCAGAAGCTTTTTAGTTTAATTATGTCTCATTTATTTATCTTTGTTTTGTTTCATTTGCTTTTGGGTTCTTGGTCATGAGGTTTTGCCTAAGCCAATGTCTTCAAGGGTTTTTCTGGTGTTATCTTCCAGAATTTTTATAACTTCAGGTCTTAGGTTTAACTCCTTGATCCATCTTGAGTTGATTTTTGTATAAAGTGAGAGATGAGGATCCAGTTTTATTCTTCTTCATGTGGCTTGCCAATTATCCCAGCACAAATTTGTTGAATAGGGTATCCTTTCCCCACTTTATGTTTTTGTGTGCTTTGTTGAAGATCAGTTGGCTGTAAGTATTTGGGTTTATTTCTGGGTTCTCTATTCTGTTCTGTTGGTTTATATGTACCTATTTTTATACCAGTACCATGCTGTTTTAGTGACGATGGCCTCATAGTATAGTTTGAAGTCAGGTAATGTGATGTCTCCAGATTTGTTCCTTTTGCTTAGTCTTTCTTTGGCTATGCGGGCCCTTTTTTGGTTCCATATGAATTTTAGAATTGTTTTTTCTGGTTCTGTGAAGAATGATGGTGGTATTTTGATGGGAATTACATTAAATTTGTAGATTGCTTTCGGCAGTATGGTCATTTTCACAATATTGGTTTTACCCATCAATGAGCATGAGGTGAGTTTCAATTTGTTTGTGTTGTCTATGATTTCTTTCAGCAGTGTTTTGTAGTTTTCCTTGTAGAGGTCTTTTTGGAGGCAGGACCTTTAAGAACTAATTAGATCATGGGGGCTTTGCCCTGTATGAATGGATTAATTCATTTTAGTCAGAGTGGTTTTGTTATAAAAGTGAGATCTCTCTCTCTCTCATGCTCTCTCACCATGCAATGCCCTCTGCTATCTTATGTTGTAGCAAAAAGGCCCCCGCCACATGCTAGCACCTTAATATGAAAATTTCAACCTCCAGAACTGTAAAAAACAAATTTATTTTCTTTATAACTTACCCAGTCTGTGGTATTCTGTTACAGCAGCAGAAAACAAACTAAGATAAGAAATTACAATTACTGCGTACAAAGTTCAGAACAGCACAGAGAAGAGAGTGACCAATTTTGTCCAGTGGAGTCAAGGACATCTCACAGAGAATATGAGTCTGAGGTGAGGTTTTCTTTTGGTTTGTTTTCTATTTTTTGAGGCAGGGTCTCAGTTTGTCACTCAGGCTGGAATGCAATGGCACAGTCATGGTTCACTGCAACCTTGATCTCTTGTGGTCAAGTGATATTCCTGCCTCAGCCCCCACCAGCAGCTGAGCCTACAGGTGCTCGCCATTGTGCCCAGATAATTTTTAAATTTTTTACAGGGACAAGGTCTCACAATGTTGCTCAGGCTGGTTTTGAATTCCTGGACTCAAGTGATCCTCCTGCCCTGGCCTCCCAAAGTGCTGTGATTATAGGCCTGGGCCACTGTGCCTGGCCTGAACTGAGTTTCAAAGGAAAAATAAGATTTCTTTGGCTGGATGGGGGCAGATTACAGGGAATGGGGATGGGTGTTTTGGGCTGAGGAATAGCATATGCAAAGGCTTAGATGTATGAAATCACATGTGCATTTGGGGAAAACAACAAATTGTATGTTAAAAATGTTCACTTGAAAATGATTTACTAAGAACCTGCTGTGTGGCAGGAACTGTTCAGGGTGCTGGGATACATGGTAGCCAAGGCAGACACATTTCTTTCTTGTTGTATTAGTCTGCTAGGGCTGCTGGAACAAAATACCACAGACTGGGTGGCTTGAACAAGAGAAATTTATGTTCTTACAATTCTGAAGGCTGGAAGGTGTTAACAGGGGTTGATTTCTTCTGGGCCCTCTCTCCTTGGCTTGTGGATGGTTGTCTTCTCCCTCTGTCTTCACATGGTCTTTCCTCTATGTATAAAGACACCAGTCATATTGGATTAAGGCTCACTCTAATGACTTTATCTTTGCTCATTACATTTGCAATGCTCCTACTTTAAAATAAGGTCACATTCTGAGGTACTGGGGGTTAGGACTTCAACATATGAATTTGGGCGTGAGGGACACAGTTCAGCCCATGACACTAGCAAAGGGTTTAATTTGTGTGTGTGTAGGTAGGTAGGCAATAAATGACTACACCAGTAAGCAATAATCTTAGATAATGGTAAGTGCTGTGAAGAAAATTAAAGCAAGATAATGGCATAGAAATTGACCGTTTTGGCCAGGCATGGTGGTGTCCACCTGTAGTCCCAGCTATTTGTGTGGCCGATGCGGGAGAATCGCTTGAGCCCCGGAGTTTGAAGCTCAGTAAGCTATGACTGTGTCACTGCACTCCAGCCTGGACAACAGAGTGAGACCCTGTCTCTAAAAAAATAAAAAAGGGATAAAAAGAAATTGACCATTCATTCAGCAAATATCAATGGAACCTCATTTATGAGCCAAGATTTGGGTTTGTTGCTGGTGACTAAAGGGCCCATGACACATGACTCTTGGCCTTAAAGCATTCACAGGGTGGTAGAGGAAACCAAGGAAATATGTGAGGAGACCCCTTGGTTGGAGGTACATGGTTAATCAGGAATGCTGGAGCCGTTTCAGCTGAGAGAGGGGAGTTGGTGGCATCACGCAGGAATGGTCAGGGCATTAGAGTCCTACCTAGTAAGGAAAATCCATCTCCACGTTGTCCTAGAGATGAACTTCTCTTACTACTGAAGGAAGTAGAACAAAACATTCTTCCATCATGGCAGCCCAGACACAATGGCCTGTGTCTTGACCCTTCTTTGCACCCAATCTAGCCAGGCACAGAGGTCCAGATCAGAGGAGACTGGCAAAGTGACAGCCGAAAGAATTCGTCTTGAGCAGTATGCATGTACCCTGGGCCACATGGTGGATAAAGTCGTGCACTTAGAGTGAACCTTTAACAAGTTCTGAAGCAGACATTAAAAAACACAGCTCTCCTAGAAAGTGACTGTGTCAGCTTAGACAAGCATAGGACAAGAGCAGCAAGGACCTCTCAGAAAGGAAATTGTATTAATCAGGTGGAGCGTGGGGAGAAATCCACCTGGGTCCAACTAAGACCGAGAAGAACATTCACTGGTTCCTCAGTGAGAAGGAGCCGAGAGAGTGTAACATAGTTAATTGTCAGGGAAGGAGCTCTCAAAGTTTAATGAGCTCAAGAATCACTTGGAGAGACTGTTTAACATGCCACTTGCAGGCCTTACTCCAGCAGCACTCATCTAGGAGTCTGTGGTGGAACCCTGGAATCAGCATTTTGAACAAACCACTTCTTCCAATATGTTTTGGATGTAGGTAGGTGGCTTACTTGATCACACGTTAAGGAATTTTGCCTCTGCATTATTAAAGACAAATAGAATGTAAATAAACTGTATTGTAAATTGCATATAGTTTTCTATTCTATGAGTACTTTAGTCACTCTCAACAAGTTCATTAGAGTAACAAGAGTCCTTAGTTACCGCGGCAGTGCAAATATTATTATATACACATACCTGGACCGAGTAGGCCCCAGCTAAATATCTCAGGTACTATTCTGCTGCCTAGGGTGGGCAGAACGAGATTCACACTCCCCTTCAGACTGCTGACTGACTGGATACTGAGGGTTTGTGTGTGTGTGTGTGTGTGTGTGTGTATGTGTACAGCAGACTGGGCTCACGTAACCATGACTTTGGTCAAGTTTCCAAAGCAACGGAAACAAACAGGGAGAAGACTTCATGTTGCTATGATGTGAATACTTATGACATTTACTGAGAGCATACTATGTGCCAGGCACTAGGGTTCCCCCAGAAGCAGACTCTGAGACAAAGATCGAAATGCAAGTCATTTTTAATTAGGTAATGATCCCAGGAAACACCTATATGAAAGTGAGACAGAAACGGACAGGACCCAGTAAAAACTGTGTTTTCAAGTGTGTTACCCAGGGAACAACTAGAGCTGAGTTTTGCTGGGGTCTTCTGGTGTAGGGCACCCAACTGTTACAGTTTGACTGGAACTGAGGGGTTTGCGGGGACTTTCAGTGCAATATCCAGAAAAGTTTCAGGCAAATTGAGGTGCATTGTTCACTTGATCTGGGAGCCAGTGTATGTGCCTAATAGTATCCCAGCAAATAACTAAATTATCCCAACTTGGGGTGGGGGATGAGGAAAGTGGGTTGTTTATCCACTAACTCACCATCTGTCATTGGTCAGGGATGATGCAGTTTCTAGATCCCCAACCTAGAGGTGCAGTTTCTCCTTGCAGCTCTTGAGAAGGTCTAAGTGCTGAGTAACCTGCTTGCTGGTGGTTGTGCTGTGTCTCTGTGAAATGGGAGCTGGTACGAGAATGCTCTTCGCTGCTTCTCATCGCTTAGTACTTTTCCTTCGTCACTTCCCTTTGTCTTCACTCTGACTGCCTGGGTTTGTACCCTGCCAAGTAAAGCATCAATAGCTTAACCTCTGCCTCAGGCTCTGCTTTCTAGAGGACCTGGGATTTAGGAGACCTGAATTCAAGTCTCATTTCTTTGGCTGACTTGCTGTATCATTTTGGCTAATTAATTACTCTCTTGTGGATCTCAGTATCTCCACCTCCAAATGAAGAGATTGAAACTATATAGTCTCTTAGTGCCTTCTCAGTCCTCATATTCTCTGATTCCATAAGATTCCCCTAAAAGACTTTTTATAAGTTCCTTGCTAAGCAGTAAGCCACAGACTCCTTTCAACTCAGTCATATTTTTTTTCCCCATCACTCTTAATGAATCTTGGTTTCCTGGGCAATTTTTATTTAAAAGAAAAAGAAGAATGGGGGAAAGAAAGTTTGGAAACTCATAATCTCTATGCCCCGAGGAGATTTTCCTAAAACAATCTTTTTTTTTTTTTTTTTTTTTGGTGGGGGTAAGGGAACTTACTTTGCAAGAAAATTCAGTCGTTCTGAAATGGACTTTGAAACCAAAGACTGTGGAAAAGTTTAAGGAAAAGCACAAAGTGATTGGGGATAAATAGTTCCATATGAGTTACTGGATATAATATTTCTCCTTGTACTACTCAATTCTGGGTGAAAGCAGAGACTGCATGCTTGGTGTGTGCTAACAGATGTGTGTTTAGATTTAATGGGATTTTTAGAAGGGTCAAGATTTCCCCCAAAGAGTACTTACCCACTCTGCTCTCTGAAGGTCACAAGAAGCCACTCAAAATCCCACCTCCTTTTGTTCTCAGGCTTTAGAGGTTTTGTTCACTTCTGTCTATGATGAATAATTTGAAGAAGTCAGAAGGTGAATAATAACAACAGTAGTAATAATACTAACAGTAATATCATCAATACGCTATCAAATGTGGGCTGCATTAACTCATTAGGGTTTCACGAAAGATAAGCTTAGTAACTTGTCTGAAGCTACCCAGTGGTGGAGGTGAAATGTAAACCTAGACCTATCTGTTAGGCCCCCAGATCTGTGCTTTGGTCACTGTGTGAAATAGGAAGGGGATTGTAAATCGGGCAGTGTTCTGGACCAGAAGTCTTTTAGATGACTTCTAATTTGACTTTCTGGACCAGAAGTCTTTTAGATGACTTCTAATTTGACTATCTTATAATTGTCTGCTTCTTTGGGTGGGAGAGAGTTAAACAGTTATTATGGGCCAGGCCTTGCCATAGTGAAGAGGAATCTAACATGGGCTCCTGCCTTCTGGAAACAGAGGCTCTAATAAGAAGGATAAGACACGTCATAGATGGGTCACTTTATACTTTAGATACAGATAATTAGCATACAGTAGACAGGGGTAAGTGAAAGGTCAGGGGAAATTACAAGGAGCATGACACCTTGTCATAGATCCCACTCTGGGTAGTTTCTCTTGAACTGGTCATGTGTTGCAAGTCATTTCGTGGGGACAAATTGTGGATAGGGTTGATTCATGCCATTTCCTGCAGCTTTGCTGGCAGCTAAACCCCCTTGTGAATCTCATTACATCCACTAAGCTTGCATTCAGGAGCACGTTAGCAGCAGAGGGGAGGGTTTTGAGATATGAGGGCTGAGAGACAGGAGGGCAGGAGAAGGTCAGAGAGAAACTCTGATTCAAGGCTGCTTCTGAGGGCTTCACTTTGGGGGATCAATTTCTGGGCCTGACACTGGCACACAGTAAGTCCTTAAAATATGCTGCTGCTGAAGAGGTTTTGAACATCTCCCTCACCATTTCAACTGAAACATTCCTGTTTCACATAGTGACCAAAGCACAGGCTTTGGGACCTAACAGATAGATCCAGTTTATCTACATTTGACCTCTCACCTGAGTCCCAGGATGACTCAGTCACTGGGTGACTTCAGACAAGTTATTAAGCTTGCAAGTAGCATGGTGCACTGGCAAGAGCCCTAGCTCTGGGATTACATTAAGGCTAGAAGTTTGGCTGTACTATTTCCTAGTCATGTGACCTTGGGTAAGTTATTTAAGAGCCTCACGTTCAAGGAAGGGACATCATTTGAACAAGACCTTGAAGGTTGCACAAAATTTAAGCATGTGGAAATATAAAGGAAAGAAACACGTTATAACTAGTAGAGTTGTAAGATTATGAATGATTTCTTTAAACATTATTTTTCTATGTAGGGGGACAAAAATATGCATAAAAATAATAGCAAGTATTTATGAATTCTAGTGTTGGCAGAATAATTTACTTTTTTGAGGGAGATTTATTGTTTAGGAGAAATATTTAAATAGAATTTTGGTTATGAGAGGGCATGGCCAGAAGTTAGCCTGAAAGGAAAGGTTGATGCAAAGGTGGGGGCGGGGGGTGTTGTGTATAATCAACTAAAAGGTGCTGTACTCCTCGATACAGAGCAAGAAAGTGAGCCATGATGCTGCCCATGGCAGAGTGGCTAGTTGTTCTGCCACTCTGCAAATCTGCTTTCTTTTACTCTGGGGCACAAATTACATGTCCCAGTCTTTCTTGCAATGAGGCATGGCCCTGTGTTTCAGTCAGTGAAACATGGGTGGGAATTTCATGTGCCACCTGCAGGCATGGCCCACAGAAAACCTTTTACATATAATTCCCTTTCTTTTCTTGTCTGCAGACTGGATATTGATACCCAGGCAAACTTGCCACCTTGTAGAAAGCGGCAGAACCTCTGTGAGCCTGGGTCCCTGAGTCACTGTGTGGAGCAGAGCTCTGTGACTGGATTTTACAGACTGACTGGGCTTTCCAAAAGTAGAACTATTCTTTTAAGCCTTTGAGATTTCAAGATTTTGCCCTAGTAGCAGCTAGTATTATCTTAATTAATATAATACCAAATTTTGGGCTTCCTCAGGCAGGGCCCACAGGAGAAGATTACAGTCCTGAAACCTGGAGGAGAGAGGAGGTGAGAGGGAGTCCTCTAATGTAAGGTTAGCATGGACTGAGCAAAATGCCATCTGCTGTGGCTGAAAATGGGAGTCTCTTGAGCAAAGTCTCTTGGTGTTTGGGATGAGCCCACCTGTTACCCACTGTTTTATTTTATATTTCTTCTATTATAGTGGCTTTGTAGTCTCCTTAGGACTTAAGTAGAGTTGGTTAAACACTCTGGTTTGGTGTTTCCTGTGCTTTGGGGAATTAGGGGCAGGCCAATATCTACATGTGGGAAGACCAGGGAAGATGCTATGGCAGCTTGGGGGAGCTTGGACAGGCAGAAATGAATGGCAGAGAAGCTTAGAGCAGAGATCTGGAAGGATAGGGGGCTACCAAGAGTATGTAAGCTGTCCTGGGAGTCTCAGAAATACCAGTAGTGATGTGGGTAGAGTTTGCTTTTGTTTCTGCAATTATGCAATTGAGGTTCCAATTGGGTTATGCCTCCTTAGATTCTAGAGGGGCTCTTTAAACTCCTCTTAGACTGGGGTTCTTGGGGATACTTTAGTTGCAGGTATTTTAAAAGATTTTTCAGTGATGATTTTTTAATAAAGAGAAAAAAATACTAAAATGGAAAAGAAAAAATAAAAATTAAAGTTCTGAGCATATAGCATTGGGTCTAGCAGATAGTAAATAGTAGGTGCTCAATCAATGGTAGCCTTATCTGTTTTAAGGTTCACCATCAAATTGATTACAGCTTTTAGGAAGGAGGAATTCTTGGCACTATTTCACTTGTTATTATTATCATTATTGTACATTGATTATCAGATGCATTCCAATTTTAGAAACATTTAAATGTTAAAAAAATGTGCCTCTGAGATTTAACAAAGTACCACAGGATGATGATCTGTTCCTGGATGCAATAAACACCAACCCTCGTGAGATGGAAAAGATTTTCCTGATGGTTGTTCTGAAGCAGTTAATGTAACAAAAGTCCAAGTGCTTGGATGAGACTGTTGTCTTTCCTCTTATACTGAGTAAACACCAGTGTATTTATAATCAGTTCCTGAGTTGTGATTTCTCAGCACAGCTTGCATGGGTTCCTGGAAGTGGTGTGACCCTGGTCCTGTTCACATGCTCTGGTTCCTTACTTCTTCTCAAGAGGCAGGATTTGGGCTGGCAGGGCAGATTATGATGCTCCCTGGAAAACAAGGGAGCCCAGAAAATGTCCAGTTCTGAATGTCACATAAAGTAAATAGGGTCATGAACAAACCGGCATGAATTCAGCTGAAATGGTGGGGGAAATGTTCCTAACCTTTAGCTTCCTAAACTTTGGCAGCATCTTTTGAGGACCTACTGTGTGCCAGTGTGGGGGCCCAGAAATTGATCCCCAAAAGTGAAATCCCTGGAAACAGCTTCAGATCAAAGTTTCTCTCTGACCTCCTCCTGCCCTCCTGCCTCTCATCTATCATTCTTCCCCGAGGCTAGACATAGAAACTAGAATTCCTATTCTTCAAGGTGAATTATAGAAACCAGATCCCCTTTTCCCCAAAGCCAACCGTAAAACCTAAAAATATTACTCTAACTTTTCCCTGCTTTTCTGTGTAAGAACTGGCCGTGAAGAAATTCTCTGAGCGATCTTGTTTGATTGCAGGACATAAGACCCCTATTTCAGAAAGGGTCTTGCCCCGTACCGGGAAGGAAGGAAGGCTGCACAGAGAGGCCAAGAAGAATCTGAGCAGAAAGGCCTTGCTGAGTTTCCTTGCTCAGTCGATCTGTTTTTAGATCACACCCTTTTGTCCAATCACAGTTCTACACTTTTCTATTTATTCTTCACTGGACCTCAGCATGAACATAGGTAGTTTTTCCTGTACATTAGGGTCTCCATTCTGAAGGCTCCCACATCACATGAAATGATGATCAAATAAATTGGTTATGTTTTTATCTTGTGAACCTGTCTTTTGTTATAGGGAGATTGGCTGTGGCCCTTATAATGGGAAGAAAACGAATCACCCCCTTTCCAAACCTACCCCAGAGTGCTAGGTACTTACATTTGTTATATTGTTTAAGCTGTTTATAACAACTCAGTGGGATGGTATCATAAGTGTCCCATGTCACACAGATAGAATATCAACATTCAGAAGGTTAAGTCACTTGTGCACAGGTGATGTAATATCATTGGATCCTGGTTGTCCTGATTCCAGAGCCACTCTTCACTACTGCATCATGAGAGGTGTCAAAAGTAATTGGAGATATTTAGCCTGGAAATGAAGAAGAAGAGGCTTAGAAGATATGTAATTGCTGTCTTCAAACCCTGGGGGAAGCAGAGCGGTCAACTGAAAAGACTAGAGGCCAGAGACAGTGGGGGCACCCAGTAACAAAAGGCAGAGCCAGAATAATAACCAAGGGCTGCTGGGGATTATTTCTGCATCCATAAAGAATAACTACTTCAGAGGGTTGGTAGGAGGATTAAGTAAGATAACATTTACAAACCATAAAGCTTGACACTTAATAAGTGCTCAATAAATGTTTAATTCCATCCCCCCACTCCTTCCTTCCTTTTCCCATAAGGGTTGATGTGTGGAAGAATTTTTTTAATGTAGTCCCCAAAGAGGGGGATTTTATATAAATAAAGAAAAGATAAAAAATATGGTTTTCAGAGAAGCACATTTTGGTTCACTATCAGGGTGAATATTCTATTTCACTCAACAAACACTTACTAGGCATCTACTTAATGTCAGGCCCAGGATTAGGAACTGGGGATACAGAAATAAGTAAGATGTGGCTCTTGCCCTCTGGGAGTTTCCAACCTGCAGTGGTAACTGATAAGACGCGAAAAGCCATTATGAACTTTGTAGACTGTTTTCCATTCTGTGAGAGGACCACAGTGGGGCAGATGGTTTGGGGAAACAATTTCCTGGGTCCTGAAGGTGGCTATGCAGTTGCTGGATATCCAGTTGGCTGTCAAGGTGTCTAATAGGCAAGGATCACAAACTTCTGGAGCTCCTGCCACATGGGGCAGGCTTTTCTGCTTTGCCTGGATGGGCCCCAGAAGGCTTTTCAACAGGTTTTGTAATCAGCAGGGTGAACTGCCCTTGGAGAAAACTCTAGTGCCAATCTTGCTCTGGAATAAATCCTAGAGGTTGGATGCACTGATTGTTGGGGGAGACAGAAATGCGAACAGCGAGTGCGCTGGGTGTGGGCTGCTCTCCACCTAGGGCCTCAGAGAACTCGCCCCTCCCTCCATCCCTGTCTCTGGCCTCCCGTCCTCAAAAGCCTTCCCTCCCTCCCCTCCCTACCCCTCCCTTCCCCAACCGCACTCTGTCCCCCATCTCCCGCATGCTTTTCCTTCTTAGTATTTACCCCAATTCATGGATTTCCCATGTTACCCCAGTTGTTTTCTTCCATGATTAGAATGTCAGTTCCATGGGAAGGGGGTTTAATCTGTGGAATCCCAGGCACATTTGTAAAAATGGGGAAATCAAAACCCATTTCCCAGTGTTGTTGGAAGGATTAAATGAGGTAACATTTGGAAAACATATAGTTCCTGACATGTAGTAGATACTTAATAAATGTTCATTTATTTTCCTTTCCCTTTCCCTCAGAGACTATTCTGTACTTTGGACAGGTTTTTGATTAAATATTTGTGCAATGAATGAATAGGTGTGCTTCAGTCTCCTTATCCGTAAAATGGGCTAACAATACTATCTAGCTTATGGTTATGGTAAAGATCAACTAAGATAAACAGTAGGAAGCTCTTAGCACAGGACACCATTCCTGGTCTTATGTGCATGTTACATGTGCTTACCTGTGCTTGCATGCATGTTACATGAGCTTACCTGTGCTTGCATGCATGTTACATGTGCTTACCCGTACTTACATGCATGGTAAGTACTCAGTAAAGGTGAGCAAAGGTGCCGATGATACTGCCGATGATATTGAGATAGGGAAGCTCTGGACACTGGGGCAGGAAGCTGTTAAACTGCTTGAAAGGAAAAAGGAAGTCAGAAAAATCTTGACTATGACCCACATCTTCCTCGTCCCCAGGGTCCAACACAAGGCTTAAAACACCACAGGTAAATGAATACAGAAATGTATGAATGAATCTTATTCAGGAGCACAATGTAATTCACACACAGGGCTTCTGCCCTATCAGCTCCTGGGCAGATGCTGGGTTATAAAATTTTAATAGTTTCTATAGCTGAGTGGGTACTGACTAGCTCCTAGAACCGGCTGTTCTACACTTTCCCCTTCTCCCCAGACAGAGTACTGCTGTCCACTCAGCTACAGATGCAGAAATGTAAACAAAGAAGCTTAGCTGGCCTAAAGTAGGGATTGCTGGAACCAGGGAGATATACATGTCCTTGGCTGACATTTCGATCTGAGGCAGTGGTTAGGGCTCCAGGAACACACACCTGAGTCTCTGGTATTGAGCTGTCTGAAATTAAGAGAGGAGCAGTTGGAAAGAGCCATGGTCCACAAGACAGGAAAACAGATTATCACAATACAGTCTGATAGGGTTGGAGACAATGTGAGAGCACGGGGTGGGAATGGCTTATCCTACTATCATTAGCACTGTGTCTGCAGGGTTGAGAAATAAGGGCTTGTTCGTCCTTCCCTAAAGGGAGCTCTCAGCCTCAAACTTGAAGTTGGGTTCTGGGTCTGTAGGCTGTTTGGGAAGAGGCACTGCACTTCTGCTTTGTGGTTCCTGCAACATCTTCCATGGGATCATGCAGGCTCCGGATAGGCATCCTCTTCCCTTTCTAGGTGCATCCCTTGCTGCTCCCATTCTATGCCTCATATGTCAGCTAACCAGGCAGTTCCCTGTATCCCAGGCAAGAGTCCACCTACCCACCTCCTCCTCTTGTACTGCTTAATGGAAAGAACATGGGCTTTGGAAACAGAGACCCGTTTCTAAGCCCCTCCAGGATTCATCTCTAAAACTGGGGGTACGGGGGAGGGCTATCTATCAGGGGTGTTGTAAACATTAGCAATGCTGTGCCTAGATCACCTAAACTTAGCATTCAATAACTCTTAGTAATTATTATGGTTTTAAGTACAATACAAATTTTTATTTAAAACTAAATTCTTTAGTATCATAAGCATAGCATTCGAGTTAAAAAACAAACTGCAATCTCAGTCTGCAAACAAGTCCAGAAAAGATTTATTTAAAAAGTCTGAAATTCAGCATTCCACCTCTGTAGTGGTTGGGCACCATATTTTGTACCAAGCACAGCTCATAAATATTCTATCACGGAGGTTGACACACAGGAATGCACCGCAAGATACAAATGCTGCAGTTTGTTCTTCTAGAAGTCTCTTTTAAATGCCTTGCCTGTTGTGCAGAGGGCTCAGGAGTGTCCTGGACTCACAGTCTCAAAGCTCCAGAGATGAACGTGTGGGTTTGTTTGGCTCTCTCCCCTTTCAGCCCTTGCAAATGGAGGCATGAACTAGAAGCAGCACTGTCTTTGTGCCCCCAAGAAAGCCCCACCCTGATTTTCACTAATCAATCACTGAGGCTGTTGATCTTTAGCACTGCTTTCTTTAATGTGTTTGTTATCTGTGAGGCTGGATGGGGCATTAGAATTTTCATCCTTCTGTTAGACGTCATATCTGCCCCGTTTATCCCATTATCATGGGATATTAATTACTTGAAAGATTGTGTTTCTTCTATTTCCTGGCCCACTGGGGTCTTTAGGGTTGGGGACACTGGGGAGCCCATGGATGCTAGCTGCTAGGCTGCTGTGGCTGTGCCGGCCATGGGACAGCATGGGGCAGCAAGTGTGGACAGTGATGCAGGGCCCTCCCTTTCTTTGTGCTGTACTGAAGCAATGGCTGTTGAGAATCTGCAGCTGGGAGGATTTCACTGACAGTTGCTGGGACAAACATTTATTGACCTCCTTCAGGAAGGTCAATTCCTGGCACAGGCTCCCCTTCTTCTACGCCTTTTACCCATGCTATCTCTTCAGCCTTGGAATATCCATCTCCTTTTCTGTGCTTATTAAAATCCTACTTATCGTTTAAAATCCAAGTCGGATGCTGTCACCTCCTTGTAGATGGAGGGTCCCTCCTTGTGCTCCTTTGGGCACCATATGCTTCTTGAGTGTGGAAGCACCCATATTGTATGCAGCTTCAAAATAAGGGTCTAGTCTGTGCCTGAGCTGTAGAGACTTCTTTGTCTGGAGTCTTCCCCTTCTACCAAATCCCCTTCCACTGGGTTTTTTTTTAGTCTTTAGCTCTAAACTGAGCAATGATTTAATCCAGGAGGCCTTTCTTGATGCCAGACAAATGAGACCACTCTCCTCTGTGCTACCTCATCAGAGCACTTCTCATCATTTTCACCAATTGTCTGTTCAATTGTCTTTCCTCCCTGCTGGAAAGTCAGCTATGGGGAAGACAGAAAGCCTGCTTGTTTTGTTTACTGCTGTATTCTTAGTACCTAATCTCCCTCCAGGCCTGTAGTAAGTGCTCAGTAAATACTGAATGAATGAATGAATGAATGAGAGCATCTGGATTCAGGTCTCAGTGCTGCCCCTTATTATCTGTGTGACCTCAGAAAAGTCAATCTCCTAGATCCCTCCCAGCTCTGACATTCTGCTATTAATATTTTGCTACCTCTTTTACCCGGTATCTACAGCTCATGTCCTGGCCCACCCAGCATGAGTCATGCCTCAAGAACCTCAGGCACTCGCTCACTCCAAGGATTTTCCATTCTTTGGAGAACCTTTCACTCTTCAAATATTGTCTTTCTGATGTGGTCCTTGGCAGCGTCATAGATCTCTCCAGCTCACGCAGGTCGGGTCCCTTGATGGGATCAGGCTAGGTCAGCGTAGATGCCTTATCTACTCACTCTGTTCCTGGAAGTCTGGGCTTTGTGCATTCCCATAAAGGGCCCCAGAAGAGGGTGGGATCTGAGCCCGTGATGGACCATGCTGTATGTTGGTGCAGCCCAAGGGGAGGGAAAGCTGTGACTCAGTGTTTGTAAAATGTTAGCTTGTGGAGTGAGTAAGACCAGACCAAGGCTGACTGTTTTGGGAAGTGGTGAGTTGGGTTAATTGAAATTGGAGCCCAAAAGCCAAGGTCAATTCCTGCCATGGTGGCTCTCACTTCCTAGCTGTGCCCTATTACCATGTAATTTAATCTCTCCAAACCCCAGTTTCTTTATCTGTGAAATGGCTACATTAACACCCAGCCTACTCACCCCCTAGCAAGATTTAGAAGTGCTGGAGGGCACATATTTTCATATGGGTGCATATTGAATACATACTATATGACACAAACTTCATATCTGTTATTTAATCGAATTCTCAGAACAGCCCTGCATGGTTGACAGTTCAGATAAGATTCTGGCCTCAGCTCTGGGTTTCAATACAGCAATGTTTCCCCAGTTGTGTGTTGGATCACACCTTTCCGCTGGGCACGCTCTTTCCCACCCGAGGTTAGGAAATATAGGTTTTTGTGGTCAAACATGTTTGTTTAATCCTACATTGGGACCCACTGGTGTACAGTAATTAGGATTTAAAGGGAAAAGATCTAGCCACCCCAGAACTCTCAGTCTTATGCTCAGCAGCCTGGAGTTGGGCTCCCCAGTGTTTCAGTTGTTAGGCAGGGCAGCCATCCCCTGCAGACAGGGCTCCGTCTGTGATGCCTGGGAAGGGGCATCACCAGTTGGGGTCTTTGACTCAACTTCAGTGTCATGAAGGATTTCTGCATTTACATTTTGTTTTGAAATTGTGCGGGAGGCGGGTGGGATCTGGCAAGATGGCCGAATAAGAACAGTTCCGGTCTGCAGCTCCCAGTGAGAACAACATAGAAGGCAGGAAATGTCTGCATTTCCAAGTGAGGTACCCAGCTCATCTCACTGTGACTGGTTAGACAGTGGGTGCAGCCCATGGAGGGCGAGCCAAAGCAGGGTGGGGCATCGCCTCACATGGGAAGTGCAAGGGGTCAGGGAATTCCCTCCCCTAGCCAAGGGAAGCTGTGAGGGACTGTGCCATGAGAGATGGTGCTATCCGGCCCAGATACTACACTTTTCCCACAGTTTTTGCAACCCACAGACCAGGAGATTCCCTCGGGTGCCTACACCACCAGGGCCCTGGGTTTCAAGCACAAAACTGGGCAGCCAATTGGGCAGACACTGAGCTAGCCGCAGGAGATTTTTTTTTCATAGCCCAGTGGCACCTGGAATCCCAGCGAGACAGAACCGTTCACTCCCTTGGAAAGGGGGCTGAAGCCAGGGAACCAAGCGGTCATGCTCAGGGGGTTCCACCCCCATGGAGCCCAGCAAGCTAAGATCCACTGGCTTGAAATTCTCACTGCCAGCACGGCAGTCTGAAGTTGACCTGTGACACTAGAGCTTGGTGGGGGTAGAGGCGTCTGCCATCACTGAGGCTTGAGTAGTCAGTTTTCCCCTCACAGTGTAAACAAAGACACTGGGAAGTTTGGACTGGGTGGAGCCCACTGCAGTACTGCCAAACTGCTGTAGCCAGACTGCCTCTCTAGATTCCTCCTCTCTGGGCAGGGCATCTCTGAAAGAAAGGCAGCAGCCCTAGTCAGAGACTTATAGATAAAACTCCCATCTCCCTGGGACAGAGCACCTAGGGGAAGGGGTGGCTGTGGGCGCAGCCTTAGCAGGCTTCATCGTTCCTGCCTGTTGGCTCTGAAGAGAGCAGCAGATCTCCCAGCACAGTGCTTGAACTCTGCTAAGGGACAGACTTCCCCCTCAAGTGGGTCCCTGACCCCTGTGCCTCCTGACTGGGAGACACCTCCCAGCAGGGATTGACAGACACCTCATACAGGAGAGCTCTGGCTGGCATCTGGTGGGTGCCCCTCTGGGACGAAGCTTCCAGAGGAAGGAGCAGGCAGCAATATTTGCTGTTCTGCAGCCTCCACTGGTGATACCCAGGCAAACAGGGACTGGAGTAGACCTCCAGCAAACTCCAACAGACCTGCCGAAGAGGGGCCTGACTGTTAGAAGGAAAACTAACAAACAGAAAGCAATAACATCAACATCAACAAAAAGGACGCCCATGCAAAAATCTCATCCAAAGGTCATCAACATCAAAGATCAAAGTTAGGTAAATCCATGAAGATGAGGGAAAACCAGTGCAAAAATGCTGAAAATTCCAAAAACCAGAACACCTCTTCTCCTGCAAAGGAGCACAACTCCTCACCAGCAAGGCAACAAAATTAGATGGAGAATGAGTTTGACAAATTGACAGAAGTAGGCTTCAGGATGTGGGTAATAATAAACTCCTCTGAGCTAAAGGAGCATGTTCTAACCCAATGCAAGGAAGCTAAGAACCTTAATAAAAGGTTATAGGAACTGCTAACTAGAATAACCAGTTTAGAGAAGAACATAAATGATGTGATGGGGCTGAGAAACACAGCACGAGAACTTTGTGAAGCATACACAAGTATCAATAGCCGAATCAATCAAGTGGAAGATAGGATATCAGAGATTGAAGATCAACTTAATGAAATAAAGCATGAAGACAATATTAGAGAAAAAAGAATGAAAAGGAATGAACAAATCCTCCAAGAAATATGGGACTATGTGAAAAGATCAAACCTACGATTGACTGGTGTACCTGAAAGTGATGGGGAGAATGGAACCAAGTTGGAAAACACACCTCAGGATATTATCCAGGAGAACTTCCCCAACCTAGCAAGACAGGTCAACATTCAAATTCAGGAAATACAGAGAACACCACTAAGATACTCCTTGAGAAGAGTAACCTCAAGATACATAATCATCAGATTCACCAAGGCTGAAATGAAGGAAAAAATGTTAAGGGAAGCCAGAGAGTAAGGTCAGGTCACCCACAAAGGGAAGCCCATCAGACTAACAGCAAATCTCTCTGCAGAAGCCCTATAAGCCAGAAGACAGTGGGGGCCAATATTCAACATTCTTGAAGGGAACAATTTTCAACCCAGAATTTCATATCCAGCCAATCTAAGCTTCATAAGTGAACGGGAAATAAAATCCCTCAGCATTTGCTTGTCTGTAAAGGATTATGTCACCACCAGGCCTGCCTTACAAGAGCTCCTGAAGGAAGCACTAAATATGGAAAGGAAAAACCGGTACCAGCCACTGCAAAAACATACCAAAATATAAAGACCAACGAACCTATGAAGAAACTGCATCAACTAATGTGCAAAATAACCAGCTGGCATCATGAAGACAGGATCAAATTCACACATAACAATACTAACCTTAAATGTAAATGGACTAAATGCCCCAATTAAAAGACACAGACTGGCAAATTGGATAAAGAGTCAAGACCTTTGGTGTGCTGTATTCAGGAGACCCATCTCACATGCAAAGACACACATAGGCTCAAAATAAAGGGATGGAGGAATATTTACCAAGCAAATGGTAAGAATTCTACCAGAGATACAAAAAGGAGCTGGTACCATTTCTTCTGAAACTATTCCAAGCAATAGAAAAAGAGGGACTCCTCCCTAACTCATTTTTTGAGGCCAGTGTCATCCTGATATCAAAAAAAAAAAAAAAAAAAAAAAAAAAAAAAAAGCAGTGGTTGCAATCCTCATCTCTGATAAAACAGATTTTAAACCAACAAAGATAAAAAAGACAAAGAAGGGCATTATACAATGGTAAATGGATGAATGCAACAAGAAGAACTAACTATCCTAAATATATATGCACCCAATACAGGAGCACCAAGAGTCATAAAGCAAGTTTTTAGAGATGTACAAAGAGACTTAGACTCCCACACAATAATAGTGGGAGACTTTAACCCCCCCTCTGTCAATATTAGGCAGATCAACAAGAGAAAATTAACAAGGATATTCAAGACTTGACTCAGTTCTGGATCAAGCGGACCTAACAGACAACTACAGAATTCTCCACCCCAAATCACCAGAATATACATTCTTCTCAGCACCACATAGCACTTTTTCTAACATCAACCACATAATTGGAAGTAAAACACTTCTCAGCAAATGTAAAAGAATGGAAATCATAACAACCCCTCAGACTACAGTGCAATCAAATTAGAATACAGGATTAAGAAACTCACTCAAAACTACACAACTACATGGAAGCTGAACAACCTGCTCCTAAATGGCTACTGGGTAAATAAAGAAAGTAAGGCAGAAACAAATAAGTTCTTTGAAACTATGAGAACAAAGACACAATGTACCAGAATCTCTGGGACACAGCTAAAGCAATGTTTAAAGGGAAATTTATAGCACTAAATGCCCACAAGAGAAAGCAGGAAAGATCTAAAATCGACATCCTACATCACAATTAAAAGAACTAGAGAAGCAAGAGCAAACAAATTCAAAAGTTAGCAGAAGGGAAGAAATAACTAAGATCAGAGCAGAACTGAAGGAGATAAGGACATGAAAAACCCTTTAGAAAGTCAATGAATCCAGGAGCTGATTTTTTGAAACGATTAACAAAATAGATAGACCATTAGCCAGACTAATAAAGAAGAGAGAAGAATCAAATATACACAATAGAAAATAATAAAAGGGGTATCACCATTGATCCCACAGAAATATAAACTACCATCAGAGAAAACTATAATCACCTCTACACAAATAAACTAGAAAATCTAGAAGAAATGGATAAATTTCTGGACACATACACCCTCCCAAGACTAAACCAGGAAGAAGTCGAATCCCTGAATAGACCAATAACAAGTTCTGAAATTGAGGCAGTAAAAAAAGCCCAGGTCCAGATGGATTCACAGCCGAATTCTACCAGAGGTACAAAGAGGAGCTGGTACCATTCCTTCTGAAACTATTCCAAACAATAAAAAAAGAGGGACTCCTCCCTAACTCATTTTTGGAGGCCAGTGTCATCCTAATACCAAAACCTCGCAGAGACACAACAAAATTCAAGAAAACTTCAGGCCAATATTCCTCATGAACATTGATGCAAAAATCCTCAATAAAATAATGGCAAACCAAATCCAGCAGCCCATCAACAAGCTTATCCACTGTGATCAAGTTGGCTTCATCACTGGGATGCAAGGCTGGTTCAACATACGCAAATCAATAAATGTAATCCATCACATACACAGAACCAATGACAAAAACCACATGATTATCTCAATAGATGCAGAAAAGGCCTCCAATAAAATTCAACACCTCTTCATGCTAAAAACACTCAATAAACTAGGTATTGATTGAACATATCTCAAATAATAGCAATTTTTGACAAACCCACAGCCAATATCATACTGAATGGGCAAAAGTTGGAAGCATTCCCTTTGAAAACTGGCACAAGACAAGGATGCCCTCTTTCACCACTCCTATTCAACATAGTATTGGAAGTTCTGGCCAGGGCAGTTAGGCAAGAGAAAGAAATAAATGGTATTCAAATAGGAAGAGAGGAAGTCAAATTGTCTCTGTTTGTGATGACATGATTGTATATTTAGAAAATCTCATCATCTCAGCCCAAAATCTCCTTAAGCTGGTAAGCAACTTTAGCAAAGTCTCAGGATACAAAATCAATGTGCAAAAATCACAAGCATTTCTATACACCAAGAATAGACAGAGAGCCAAATCATGAGTGAACTCCTATTTGCAATTGCTACAAAGAGAATAAAATGCTAGGAATCCAACTTACAAGGGATGTGAAGGACCTCTTCAAGGATAACTACAAACCACTGTTCAAGGAAATAAGAGAGGACACAAACAAATGGAAAAACATTCCATGCTCATGAATAGGAAGAATCAATCATAAAAATGGTCATACTGCCCAAAGTAATTTATAGATTCAATGCTATTCCCATCAAGCTACCATTGACTTTCTTCACAGAATTAGAGAAAACTACTTTAAATTTCATATGGAACCCTAAAAGAGCCTGTATAGGCAAGACAATCCTAAGCAAAAAGAACAAAGCTGGAGGCATCACACTACCTGACTTCAAACTATACTACAAGGCTACAGTAACCAAAACAGCATGGTACTGCTACCAAAACAGATATATAGACCAATGGAACAGAACAGAGGCCTCAGAAATAACACCACACATATACAACTATATGATCTTGATAAACCTGACAAAAACATGCAGTGGGGAAAGGATTCCCTATTTAATAAATGGTGTTTGGAAGACTGGCTAGCCATATGCAGAAAACTGAAACTGGACCCCTTCCTTACACCTTATACAAGAATTAACTCAAAATGGATTAAAGACTTAAACATAAGACCTAAAACCATAAAAACCCCAGACGAAAACCTAGGCAATACCATTGAGGACATAGGCATGGACAAAGACTTCATGACTGAAACACCAAAAGCAATTGCAACAAAAGCCAAAATTGACAAATGGGATCTAATTAAACTAAACAGCTTCTGCACAGCAAAGGAAACTATCATCAGAGTGAACAGGCAACCTATAGAATAGGAGAAAATTTTTGCAATCTATCCATCTGAGAAAGGTCTAATATCCAGAATTTACAGGGAATGTAAACAAATGTACAAGAAAAAAACAAACAACCCCATCAAAAAGTGGGCAAAGATATAAACAGACACTTCTCAAAAGAAGATATTTATACAGCCAACAAACATATGAAAAAAAGCTCATCATCATTGGTCATTAGAGAAATGCAAATCCAAACCACAATGAGCTACCATCTCATGCCAATTAGAATGGAGACCATTAAAAAGTCAGGAAACAAGTGCTGGAGAGGATGTGGAGAAATAGGAACACTTTTACACTGTTGGTGGGAGTGTAAATTAGTTCAACCATTGTGGAAGACAGTGTGGTGATTCCTCAAGGATCTAGAAGCAGAAATATCATTTGACCCAGCAATCCCATTACTGGGTATATACCCAAAGGATTATAAATCATTATACTATAAAGACACATGCACATGTATGTTTACTGCAGCACTATTCACAATAGCAAAGACTTGGAACCAACCCAAATGCCCATCAATGATAGACTGGATAAAGAAAATATGGCACATGTACACCATGGAATACTATGCAGCCATAAAAAAGAATGAGTTCATATCTTTACAGGGACATGGATGAAGCTGGAAACCATCATTCTCAGCAAACTAACACAGGAACAGAAAACCAAACACTGCATGTTCTCACTCATAAGTGGGGGCTGAATAATGAGAACACATGGAAACAGGGAGGGGAACATCACACACTGGGGCCTGTCGGGGGGTAGGGGACTAGGGGAGGGATAGCATTAGGAGAAATACCTAATGTAGATGATGGGTTAATGGGTGCGGCAAACCACTGTGGCACATGTATACCTATGTAACAAACCTGCATGTTCTGCACATGTATCCCAGAACTTAAAGTATACAAAAAAAAAAGAAGAAAAAAAGAAAAAAAAGAAATTGCTAAATCTGCCAATCTGGGGTCTTTGTCTCAACTTCAGTGTCATGAAGGATTTCTGTATTTACATTTCGTTTTGGAATTGTCAAGTCTGCCAATCTGATTGATAAGGTGCTTTATTTATATTATAAATAAAACGACCAATGAATCACTGATTTATGAGATGATGCTGAGAAATCTAAGTGCCAAGAGGATTGGACTGGGCTTACTGTGTGGCCCGTAGTCTTTAACAAATTATAAAATGGTTTACTGATGATTCGTTGACAGCACCTGTTGCAAGGTTGGAGTGCTGTTCCTAAGGATGTCGTCTGTGTTCTGAACAGTGACCGTATACAGTGCAGTTTCTCTCACTGACAGAATACCTCAGCATGGGAATCAAGAGGTAAGGGTGGGAGGCCCATCTGCCTATGACCTAATGCCCCATTTGTGGATATTTTGCTTTCTATCCCTGTGATTCTGGGCTCAGGTGGAGGTCTCAGTTCCCACATGAGGCGTCATCTCATTTGTCCACACAACAGTGGTTCCATGGGGTAGGAGGCTGAACTGCTACAGGGCTATTTCAGGCTCCTTCATGCCCATGACAAACAGGCCAAAAGAGAAGTTCACTTTGCTTTCTAGGGTGATTAATTCTGATTATCAGGGGCTAGCAAAATTTCTAACAAAATTGGGAAGGGGTAAGTATATGTCTGGAATTCAGATGCTTTTCTGTGGAGTCTTCTACATTTACGAAAAAATGTTCAGGAATTAAGAAAAAAAAAGGAAGGCTACTACATCTTCTTACAGGTAAGATGATTGATGGACTCAGATCCCTCAGGAATAAAGATTTTAAAAGATTGTATAAATTTATGGGGTACAAGTGCAATTTTATTACATGCATAGATTGTGTAGTGTTAAAGTCAGGGCTTTTAGGGTATCCATCTCCTGAATACCATATGATGCATCCATTAAGTAATCTCTCATCATCCACCCCTCTTCTACCCCCTCAGCCTTCAGTCTCCATTGTTTACCATCCCACACTCTACATCCATTTGTACACATTATTTAGCTTCCACTTATGAGTGAGAATGTGCAATATTTGTCTTTCTGTGTCTGACTTGTTTCAGTTAAGATAAAGACCTTTGGTTCCATTCATGTTGCTGCAAAATACACGATTTTATTCCTTTTAATAGCTGAATAGTATTCCATTGTGTATATATACCACTTTTTCTTTATCCAGTCCTCCATCGATGGACACTTAGGTTGATTCCATATTTTTGCTATTGTGAATAGTGCTGCGATAAATATATGAGTGCAGGTATATTTTTGATATAATGATTTCTTCTCTTTTGGGTAGATACCAAGTAATGAGATTGCAGGATTACATGGCAGTTCTATTTTTAGTTCTTTGAGAAATCTCTGTACTGTTTTCCATAGATGTACTAATTCACATTCCTAGCAACAATGTATAAGAGTTCTCTTTTCTCTACATCTTTACCATGTGTTACATTTTATCTTTTTAATAACAGCCATCTGACTGGTGTAAGATGAAATCTCATTGTCGTATTAAGTTGCATTTCTCTGATGATTAGTGATGTTGAGCAATTTTTTCATATGCCTGTTGTCCATTTATATGTCTTCTTTTAAAAAATGTGTATTCATGTCTTTTGCCTACTTTTCAATGGGATTATTTGTGGAGTGTTTGTTGTCGAGTTGTTGGTTTGGGTCACTCCATGAAGTCAAAATCTCTGATCAGTTGACATGCTGGCTGAGAGCGGAGACAACTTGATATTTAACTGGTTTTCTCTTCACCACTCTTCCTAACTGGTTTCATGATGTGTTACAGGGCATCCACCCTGGCGTAGAGGGGTTCTATTAGGGTGATGGGCGGCAAGTGCCATTTCCAGCTATGCTCAGCAGGGTTGGAGCAGCCACAGGAGGCTTCTCCCTAGGCCAGGCTTCTGGGCATCATTCCTAAGCCTTGTCTTGAGCTGGACTTCTGGCCCTCCCAAAAGTATCTTTGAAATAAACTTCTTTTCGGCCAGGGTCAGCTTCTGATTCTGTCAGGAAGAAAGTTCCACATAAAGAAATTGAAATAATAATAGTAATAATGATAATAAAAGAAAATGTTTGTTGAATGCTTGCCGTGTGCCAGGCTCCACATTGTAGGCTAGATATGCATTCATTCATTTCCTTCTGTCAACAGTCCTCCAAGTTTGGGGTATATTCACTTCTTTGTTTTGCATTGTTTTTTTAGGAGAGGAGGTAACCGAAGCTTACAGCAATTTCAAAATTGTCCAGGTTCATAAATTAGGAATGTCTGTTCGTGAAGCTTGACAGGCAGCAGAAAACAAGTCATATAAGGACTTGCATGCTTGATGAAGGAGTCAAGATGCCAAAATTGTGTTTTAGACTGTTTATTATGGGAAATTTTAAAACATGCAAAAAAGAGAGAACAATATAATAAACTACCACCAACCTAGTTGCAGCACATCATTAATATACATAATAGTTATTGCTTTATACAATTAGTTTAAGTATACAGGAGATAGCTAGTCCTTCTGAGTTTTCTTGAACGTTGTGAGGTTTAAGAGTTTGAAGTTGTAGTTGGCTGTATATATGAGAGCAGTGTTAATTATAATTTTTTTTTTGAGACAGGGTCTCACTCTGTTGCCCAGGCTGGAGTGCAATGGTGTGATCTCAGCTTGCTGCAACCTCCGCCTCCTGGGTTCAAGTGATCTTCCCGCCTCAACCTCCCAAGTAGCTGGGAGTACAGGCACACACCATCACACTCAGCTAATTTTTGTATTTTTAGTAAGGACAAGGTTTCACCATATTGGCCAGGCTGGTCTCAAACTCCTGGCCTCAAGTGATCCACCTGCCTCGGCCTCCCAAAGCGCTGGGATTACAGGTGTGAGCCACTGCTCCTGGCCTAATTATACTTTATATTAAATTCTAATTAAACTAAACAGATTCTGCACGCAAAAGAAACTATCACCAGAGTGAACAGGCAACCTACAGAATGGGAGAAAATTTTTGCAACCTATCCATCTAACAAAGGGCTAATATCCAGATTCTACAAAGCACTTAAACAAATTTACAAGAAAAAACAAGCCCATCAAAAAGTGGGCAAAGTATATGAACAGACACTTCTCAAAAGAAGACATTTATGCATCCAACAAACATATGAAAAAAAAAGCTCATCATCACTGGTCATTAGAGAAATGCAAATCAAAACCACAATGAGATACCATCTCACACTAGTTAGAACGGCAATCATTAAAACGTCAGGAAACAACAGGTGCTGGAGAGGATCTGGAGAAATAGGGAGGCTTTTACACTGTTGGTGGGAGTGTGAATTAGTTCAACCATTGCGGGAGACAGTGTGGTGATTCCTCAAGGATCTAGAACTAGAAATACCATTTGACCCAGCAATCCCATTACTGGGTATATACCCAAATGATTATAAATCATTCTACGATAAAGACGCATGCACACGTATATTTATTGCAGCACTATTCACAATAGCAAAGACTTGGAACCAACCCAAATGCCCATCAATGATAGACTGTATAAAGAAAATGTGGCACATATAGACCATGGAATACTATGCAGCCATAAAAAAGGATGAGTTAGGCCGGGCGCGGTGGCTCACGCCTGTAATCCCAGCACTTTGGGAGGCTGAGGCGGGTGGATCACGAGGTCAGGAGATCAAGACCATCCTGGCTAACATGGTGAAACCCCATCTCTACTAAATGTATAAAAAATTAGCCGGGCGTGATGGCGGGCGCCTGTAGTCCCAGCTACTTGGGAGGCTGAGGCAGGAGAATGGTGTGAGCCCAGGAGACGGAGCTTGCAGTGAGCCGAGATCGCACTACTGCACTCCAGCCTGGGCGACAAAGCGAGACTCTATCTCAAAAAAAAAAAAAAAAAAAAGGGATGAGTTCATATCTTTTGCAGAGACATGGATGAAGCTGGAAACCATCATTCTCAGCAAACTAACACAAGAACAGAAAACCAAACACCATACGTTCTCACTCACAAGCGGGAGTTGAACAATGAGAACACATGGACACAGGGAGCGGAATATCACACACTGGGGCTGTTGGGAGGTGAGGGGCTAGGGGTGGAATAGTATTAGGAGAAATACCTAATGTAGATGATGGGTGCAGTGAACCACCATGGCACGTGTATACCTATGTAACAAACCTGCATGTTCTGCACATGTATCCCAGAACTTAAAGTATAAAAAATAAATAATTAAATTCTCAAACTGTATAAAATTTAAAACTTGTATGTCAAAATAGCATTAAAAATTAAAAGCCAAACAACACACTCTGAAATTGATTTGCCACGGGTGTGATATTCAAAAAATATCTTTATATAAAAAGCTTATGCATAGTGATAAGAACATAGTAAGATGTGGGAGAAAAGTGGGTCAAGGGTGTGAATTATACAATTCTCAGAAAAAGAAACAACAGTAACTACCAAACTGAAGAGTAATTCAGGCAATAAAATAGAAAAAAAGCTAAGTTTATCTATGAAGTGAAAGATTTAAAGAAGCAGTATTCATATTGTGCTGAAGCGAAAATAACGTAATATAACCCTAATGGAAATTAATTTGACAAAATGTGTTATAGACTTAAAGAAATGTATATCCTTTGATCTAAATATTTTACCAAGAGAATTTTCTCCGAAATTTATGAGAGGTGTGGAAAAGATTTCTATATGAAGAATCTCATTATAGCCTGATTTAGAAGAATAAAAATATCTGGGGGAAAACTCCCAAAGCCTAACAATAAGAGAATGCTTTTATAAACTATGGTGCAATGACAGAATGTTACAGAATTATTTTCCTTGGCAAATGGTCACATATGTAAAGTATGATCATATTTACATAAAATTCACCTCTTTACAGACAGACACACACACAGAAAAGACATTGGAGAGAAATAAACTGACATGCTAACTGTGGTATTCTCTGGATTGTGGGACTACAGTTGTTTTTTATTTTTCTCTCTATTCTTTTCTGTGCTTTCTCTTATTTTTCTGAGGAATGTGTATTCACCTTTAGATTCAGAAAAGAAACTTAAAATATTGATTAAACTAATGCTGTCTAGCAAAAAACATAACTTTATTATTACGAACAAGTGAGTAATGTAAATGGCTGTTATTAATACTAATGACAATTATTCAGTACTTAATATGTAATAATATATCAATATTATTACAATGATTTAAAAAGTAATAATTGAGTATTTATTATATATAAGGATTTAGTTAATAGTAAGGATTATAATCATTCTTGTTGTATAGATGACAAAGCTGAGACCCCTGATGAATAAGTGGCTTGCTCAAAGTCCGAGAGCTTTAACTGGTGGAACCAGGGCTTGAACTAGGTTTGCTTGACACTAAGGCCCCTGTTTTTCACCACCGAAGTTCAGGTGAATTCTCTTCTGGACAGCATGAGATATCTCGTGGGACAGCCCTTCAAAGTGAGTCTACCTCATAAGACAACATGGGTCACAGCCTGGGGCCTGCTAGAAGCTCAGCCCAACATTATTTGATAGAATCAGTTAGTTGTCAAAGCATCAACTTGAAAAGAGAATTCAATTTTCCCTAAAGTTGAGGAAAACAGGCTTTCTTCCCTATTTCCTTCAGTGAAAACAGGGAAAACACACACAAGAGAGTTCGAGTGCTAGATGCTGACCTTTTTCTAAACAAAGCTTCTGTTATCCATTTTCTCTGTCTTCCTACCTGACCCAAACCTCTTCAGATGGATGCAGTTTTCTTCTTTAAAAATATTAGTATCTTCAAGCAGGTTACAATCAAGGCCTCCGAGTCTAGGTGCCTTCCTACCTCCTTCCAGTGGCTGTGATGCTCCATGAAGTGTTTATATTTAACTCATGGAGAGCAACCTTATTTTTCTAGTTTTTTTTTTTTTTTTTTCCTGAGACAGAGTCTCGCTCTGTTGCCCAGGCTGGATTGTGGTGGTGTGATCTCGGCTCACTGCAACCTCCACCTCCTGGGTTCAAGCAGTTCTCTGCCTCAGCCTCCCAAGTAGCTGGGATTATAGGCACCTGCCACCATGCCCGGCTAATTTTTGTGTTTTTAGTAGAGATGGGGTTTTACCATCTTGGCCATTCTGGTCTTGAATTCCTGACCTTGTGTTCCACCTGCCTCAGCCTCCCAAAGTGCAGGGATTACAGGCGTGAGCCACTGCACCTGGCCTTTTTCTAGTTCTTAAGAAAGAGTGGTGTGTGGCCTGAGTCACTTCGGTCTCTAAGACCTGTGGTCTCCTACCACACCTTGCAGAGTTGTGGTAAGGATTAGTGATAGCATGCCGAAAGCATATTATTCTGTAGACTCCATGAAGGCAGGATAAAGCCAGCCTTGTCCCCAGATGTATCTCCATTTCTTAGCACAGTGCCCTGCATGCAGCAGGTACTCAGCACATCTGTGATAAGTAGGAATGTGAATGAATAAACATAGCACATTACCAGGGAGACAGTAGGTACTCAACAAACCCTAGCCATGATACACTATTACCCTGCTGCTCTCTGGCCCTTAGTCTATGCATCTGTATTAACAAGGGCTTGGACTAGTTGGTCTCTAGGGTACTCTCCAGCTCTGACATTCTATGCCTGAATCCAAATACTCCAGAAGCAACCTGGGGCTCAGGGAGGAAAGATGATCTTCTCAGCATGTGCACAGAATTATTTGGCGTGTTCTCCATGTGAGACGAAGAGCCTGTGTACCGTCCTGAGGCTCATTCTGCCCTCTTCAACACACCATCTGGACCTCTCCACTTGGCAGTTTGCAACATCTGTCAGAAGTGCTTGGTGCCAGGATGACTCTTGCTGCAAGCATGTCCTTGGAAAGCTCTGGAAATAGGGAGCCTGCCGGGAGTTTATGTAACATGCTGAGTGGCCAGAGGACTGTGCGCAAAGGGCTCTGATCCCATAGCGGGTCAGCCTGCTATGACCACTCAGGGTGACTCAACTGATTGTCACATGCAACTTACAAACTGCTGACGACAGAGAGCACTGTGGTGAAAGGGACAGGAAATTCTGCCTCTGCTTTATATACTTTTTGGTGGTTATTCCCCTTTTTATTCTAAAAAGGAAGGATTTGAGATTGCTGACTCAAATACAAAGAATATAAAAAATAAATTAGAAAATCAGAATGAAAGGTGTAGGGGAGAAAATATTTCTTTCCCAACCTATTGCAAGGTTTATGACTGATATCCCAATGACAAAGACAGATTAACAAGAGAAAAGCGTAACTTATTTGTTTAATATAGTTTTACATGACTGAGGAGTCTTTGGAAATGAAGGCCCAAAGATCCAGGGAAAGCTGCATATTTTTATGGACAGACATAATAGAAGCTTGATTGAAGGACAGAAGGGTATCATCCAATGGTGCAAAATTAGGGGGAACTTAGCAAGGTTTATTTGTTCAGATTCTTCTTGGCCTCTGGATATAGGGCAGGACACTTCTGGAATGAGGGTCTTGTGACCTACGTTTAGGGGAGGTAGGTCAGAGAATTCTTTTGTGGCCTGCTTCAGGATAGAAAGGCCAGAGAAAGTCAGAGAGACCGTCCCACTTTTATAGTTTTCTTAATTTCCTCCAGCTTAAAGTCCTCCGTGTGTCAAGATGCCATATTTTGGGGTATTATATTGTGAGCCCTGACAAGGGAAAAGACTTGCTGGGGGTCTCTTCTACTTGCCTCTTCAGACCTACTCCACCTGCCGTCCTGCTGTCTGCCCTGGGGCACTGACCATGTGGCTTATATCTGGATTTTTACTGGCTTTGGCCATGGGGCGCACCAGCAGGAGATCAGAGGGAGGAGGGGAGTGAGGTCCTGAAGTCACTTTGGGCAGGCTGTGTCCTTCCCTAGAGGACACAAATCCTCTCAAATTGACCTTCTCAGTAAGACTCTTTCTTTCTAGACAGGTAATTGCTCTGTCTCCTGGGACTAGTGGTGAAGCTCCACTGTTATTGGCCCCTGGATAGTGCACTGTCTGTTGTACTTCCCCTATCTCCTGCCCACAGCTCTGTAAATAGCCCCGTTTTAAATAAACCTTTCTTGAATTATCTTAAATTGAGTGTTCCCTCTGTTTCCTGTTAGGACTTGACTGATACATAAGGATAGAAAATACAAGAGGGAACCAGAAATAATGCTCATGGATGAGATACAAATTGTAGTGCCCTGTACATGTGCCAAAAAAAAGATGTGAGTGTGTGCTATCCGTTTGACTTGAGCTTCCTAGTGACCAAAGCAACAGAACCATAGGAGGAGGTCTCCAGTCATCATTTCTTACCACCAGAGTCTAAGGGACCTTACTACATAAAACTCTGTCACTCCCATTATCTTGTGGGTTAAACTGTGTCCCCCAAAATGATAAGCTCAAGTCTTAGCCACTAGTACCTATGAATATGATCTTATTTGGAAACAGGGTCTTTGCAGATGAGACCACCTTAAGATGAACTGATAGCAAAGTGGTGTGGGCCCCTAATCCAATGACTGGTGCCCTTAATGAAGAGAGAAATGTAGACACACAGAAACATACTAGGAGGATGCCATGTGAAGATGGAGGCAGAGGCTGGAGTAATGCCCAACTAGAGGTTAGGAGAGACACATGGAACAGTTTCTCTCTGAGTCTCTAGAAGGAACCAAACTGGCCGACACCTTGATTTTGAACTTCTGGTCTCTGTAACTATGACAGAATAAGTTTCTGTTGTTTTGAGCCACCCAGTTTGTGGTACTGGGTTATGACAGCCCTAGAAAGCAAGTACACTTTGAAGTGGCATCAAGACTCTTGATATGACTATGCCTACTTTCTAGCTTCATCTCCCACCACTCACCGGCTTGCCCTGTTTGTCTGGTTCTTACATCACTGTGCTATCCCAGAGTCCTCAGCCTTTTGGCTGTATTCTTATCACAGCCTGGATTGCCTCTTCTACTTTTCACCCTGATAGATTCAGCTCAGGCGTGGCTTTCCCCAGGAACCCTTCCCTGGCTCTCCCAGCTGTCTTGGGTCCATCTCCTTTGAACTCCCATATCATTGATAATAGGCACCTGATGCATTTGTTTCCCTCCCTCAACAGTAACCTCCTCAAGAGTGATATCATGTTCCTCTTTGCATCCCCAGGGTCTAGAACAGTGCCTGGCACACAGTAGATTCCCAATAATATAGATATAAATATCCTCAGCAGGATATTTGTTTGGGGTACCTGCTACCAGCCAGGTACTTTTCTAGCCACTTCATATGCACTTCATTTGTGGTGAGGAAATTGAAGCTTGCATAGGATACTGTCTAAGTTATGTGTCCATAAGTGATGGAACTGGAATTGAAATTAGATCTGACTGACTATAGTCTAGTCTCTCCCATTCCAATCTGCTGCCTCTTTACATTGGACAGAAAGAGAAGGGCCAGGTTAGGGAGGATCTAAATGCTAGATTTTTGTCCACAATAAACTCATCTTGAGCAATCAGCTTTGAGCCCTGCATGAATGTTGATCAAATGATTGTGTATTTACTAAATCTCTTTTTGCTTTTGCTCAGGAAGCAGAAATGTTTATTTCTTTAAAAAACACAGTTGATAAGTGGGGCAATATGGATGGGATACTCAGTCCTTTGAAGAGGCTGAGATTTCTATTGGCAGAACATTAAAAATGAGAGATGCTGGTTTTAAGTCTGAATAGCAATGCCATTTTTCATTGCTGTGTCATACTGTGTCTGTGCAGCTCAGAAATGATCGCACCACCCAGACAGCCATTCCTGTCTGTGTTCCAGCCTGCCTTCTAGAGAACACACATTTGAGGAGTGGACCTGTGAGATGATAAAACAATGAGAAAGGCGGACAGGGAAACTACCTTTCATTGAGAAGTTAGAATTTCCTTTTTAATTTAAACCTTACTATCCTTCAACCTAGTTATTATTATGCCCATTTTGCAAATGGCAAAGCTGAGGCTCAGAGGGGAGAAGAGGCTTACTTCGATGGGAATATATATTCAACGGATATTTGCAAAAGCCTGCTATGCACCAGGCACTAGGCTGAGTGCTGAGAATTTGGTGGTGAACAATAATGACAGCTCCTGTCTTCATTAAAAATAAAAGGCCGGGCGCGGTAGCTAACACCTGTAGTCCCAGAAATTTGGGAGGCTGAAGTGGGTGGATCATTTGAGGTCAGGAGTTTGAGACTAGCCTGGCCAACTTGGTGAAACCCCATCTCTACTAAAAATACAAAAATTAGCCAGGCGTGGTGGTATGTCCCTGTAATCTCAGCTACTTGGAGGCTGAGGCAGGAGAATTGCTTAGACCCGGGAGGCGGAGGTTGCAGTGAGCCGAGATCGTACCACTGCTCTCCAGCCTGGGTGATGGAGTGAGACTCTGTCTCAAAAAAAAAAAAAAAAAAAAGTAATGGCAAAACCCACAATTACTTCTGCACTAACTCAATAATATCCTTGTGAGGCAGAAAGTAATTAAACAGACGAAAATCACATATGTCTAAGCAGTGTGACTTTTTATTACTAATGGCAGAACTGGGGTTCAAACCTGGATGTGCAAGGCTTCAAATCCCAGATTCTTCTTGTGTATTTTTTCTTTCTTTTGGTAATGTCCCTCATTGATAATACTCATTTTCTGGTGCCTTTTTAGAGTATTGTCACTGAAAAACTTATGTCCAACCCAGAGGTCTTAAATAAGTTGATTTGCTTCTACTTAATCATAGGAGGTTTCCAGAGGGTCAAAGTTTGGACTCCTAGCTCTACTTCTTACCAAGTGCGTGAGCTTGGGCAAGTGCTATGACACACCTATTTACTTTTAGTCGTCTGTACTATGAAGATGATGTAAGGCTCAACAGAGAAGATGAATGGGAAGGTGCTTTGCAAACACTAAGGAACTCTCCAAATGCTGGAGACTATTAAAAACAAGCAAACAAAAACTTGTCCACCCTCATCAGTGAATAGCTACAACTATTATTCTAAGCACATAATTATTCTAAATAATATAAGAGTGGTGGTAGGTGAGGTTTTTTCTTTGCAGAATATATGCAACAGAGGCTTTAAGCAAATTAATAGCTAAATAAGATTAGAAAGGATAAAAATCGGATTTACAATCAAATAATATTTAAGCTAGTTTTCTGGTTTTTCAAACCTCTTTTAGCTATAGTATTTGCTTATAATGTGTTAACTACAAAATTTAGTTTTTTTTTCATTTACCAAGTAAAGGGAAAAAAGCAAACATTAAGTATCTCAACCACCAGGTTGAAAGTGGGGAATTCTGTATTTCAAATTCTTGAATCCGCACTCCTCCTTCCTTTGCTTTTAGATGAGGGAATTGTTGCTTGTAAACCTTTGCTCCGTGACTGTAGCCCCATCCTGAAAATTCTGTATTGTGTTCTTCATGAGGAATATTAACAGCTAGTATATAGCAAGGCCTTTATTTTCTGGAGGAGTTACACTTTCTTTACCTCATTTTGTAACAGCCTGCAAGTTAGTCTCTATCTTCCAGAAACCCAGCTAAACCATGCTTTTTTTCCTCTGTGTCTCTGGGGCCTATAGACCACATTGACTGTCACAGAGTAACTGCTCAGTAGATTATAGCTGTTGATAAAATACTACTAATAATACTTTTTATGATGACTACCATTATTATATCACTACATAAATATTTTTGGAATGAATATGTGGAAATTAGGAAGTAGGCCAAAAAAGAGCTGTGAATGGTAAACAAATTTTAAAAATTGTGTGTTTTCTCAGGCCCTCATTCATAGCCTATGGTTTCTTATGTTTCACAGAGTTCTAATACTCTCAGCATTCAGGTTATACATAGCAGATTAGAAGTACCAGAATATTCTCATAAAAGGAAAAAGTGTGCCTGTTTTTAGCCACCAAATCCTGAAAGGTTATCAGTGATCTTTTGCTACTGAGGGTAGAATTGAAATTGGATTCTGGGTTTGAATCATGGCTCTGCCACTTACTCGCAGAGTGTGATGTGCGGCAGGGCGTCACTTCTTTTTAGCATTGGTGATAATAATATCCATCCATAGGGTCATTAATAAGGAAAACAGTATTTGTATAACTCTGTATTGTACATAGCCCTATCTTCTGCCTGGCTACTATAAATCTCCTAAGAATCCGAAGCCATTGGTATTTGTATCCACAGTTGGCCAGGGAGAAACACCAGGCCTGGGAGATGAAGTTGTGCCTCTCTGGCTGGACCATTAGCTAATGGCAAAGCTGGCGTTAGAGCCTGGCTCTTTCTCCTCCCACCCACCCACTTCTTAAGTGTAATTTTTATGACAATCAAATATGATAAAATATGGTTTTAGAAAGGAGATTTCTCTCCTCCATTTTCAAAGACTCTTCAATTTGCATGATGCCTTTGAGTGAACAAGAATCCCTTCAGTGCCTACTCTATCAGCCCTATGAGGAGA
Source organism: Homo sapiens (assembly GCF_000001405.40). Classification (NCBI taxonomy): domain Eukaryota; kingdom Metazoa; phylum Chordata; class Mammalia; order Primates; family Hominidae; genus Homo; species Homo sapiens. The sequence goes on from NC_000001.11 coordinate 55,449,266, forward strand.
GGTGATGAGTCTGCAAAGTACCTATATCTAGTGGTACATTAGGGCATTTATAGGAAAAAGCAAATAAAAAAATCAAATGTATCCTTATAAGTGGCAAGGAAAGGGAGACTCGATAACATGCAAAAAGGAGAAAGCAATATGATGAGTGAGGCAGTATTGGAATGACACAGCCACTAGCTAATGAATGCCAGCAGCCAAAAGAAGCTGGAAGATGCAAGGAACAAATTTTCTTCTAGAGCCTCTAGAATAAACATAACCTTTCCAAGACCTTGATTTTTGACTCAGTGATACTGATTTTGGATTTCTGGCCTCCAGAACTGTGAGAAAATAACATTTTTTGTTGTTTTAAGCCACCAAATTTATGGTCATTTGTTACTGCAGCCACTGGAAACTAATACAAGGACTTAGGGGACAGTGAGCTGCTGTTGGCCATGCAGAGGCAGGACATACATTTGTAGTATCTTGAACCTCCGATTTTACTAGTAGAAATAATGGCAATAATGTCCAAGCAGTCCAGAGAAGTGAGCTGACTCTGGAGTAGCCAACATCTATGGCAGCCTTGAAGAGGTGAACCGAAATCCAAGGGCCACTAGGAAGGGAATGAAAAGACTAGGATTCCTCTAGGACTATGAGGAGAGCCGTGCCCTTACAGAGGCTGATGTGAAGCATCAGCACTAGCCACTGGTAAAGACAGTGGCTCCCAGCACAGCAGGGGATTCCTGGGATTATCAACATGGAGGCAGAGGAATGAAGAGGCATTGGGGGTGAGTGCTTGTCTCTTGGCAAGCACAGGCCCATCTGTAACACTGGCAGTGCCTGGAGCAGGAGTTTAAATGGGACTCATATACCATGTGTCTAAATATTTTATAAGTTGTAAATCAACTTAATAAGCTGTTAAGTAACATATTTTGATAAAATTAAAAAAGTTAAGTTACAGTTTTTAAAGGAGTGAAAGTTGGCAAAGTATAAAAAATGACTGAATTTAATTATTATTGAATATATCTAAGCATCCTATTGACAAGCCAATAATGTTTGAGTGAATGGTAAAAATGGAAATTCATGTAATTCATTTATTTTTATAAAATTTATAAAATTAATTTTTCTAGCCTCCATTGCTGCAAAATTAACAATTATGTTACTGTAATCAATATTTTGACATAATTCATGATCTATTGATAGTAATATCTTCTTAATCTTATATTTTACCTATACGAAATTGAATTGGAAAAATGTTGACTTCTGGTTCTAGCCTTCTGGTCTAACTTGGTCCAAATTCATTTTCCCTCTGTAATCACTAGAAAAGTGGAAAAACAAATGAAAACAAAAGTTAGAGGAAGAAAACAAATGAGTCCAATGATGACTTTGAGTTCAGCACAGAGGCAGTTTTTTGGGCTGTGGTACAGGGAGGGAGATGTCAATTAGATCATGGCAGTCCCACTGAGTTGAGGAATTTGAGATCAGGATTTAGGTAGGTGGACGTCGCTGGAATTTGGTGACGAGAATACCAGAGACGAGAGAACTACACAGTGAAAAACTTCACATATCTGCATAGGATTCCTCTTGAGTTTGCTGCTGGATATTAAGCTGCACATGCATAGTGTGAAACTCTGAAACCAAGGAAAGAGTACCTGGGGAGTTGTAAGCAGAATAATTCCCAAAGCTCACAGAGTACTGGGAGATGTTTGCATTCTAATCAGCCAGAGTGAAGAGAACCAAGGGATTTAGTAAATACCAGAAGGGTCATGCTTTATTAGAAGTACTAAATTGGCCCTAAATTAAAAGCTACTCTATGAAGCATAAAACCAGTTTTGAAAGGATCAAGCTAATTCACAATTTAAGCCACCAGAACAAAGTCTAACACTCTTTAAAGGAAACAAACAAAATCCAGTGCACAACAATGTCCAGGATCCAATTGGAAATTAGTAGATACATTAGAAAGGAGGGAAATAAAATTTTTTTAAAAAGAAGAAAAACCAGCCAACTGAAACAAACCCAGAAATGACAGATAATAAAAGGAGCAGATAATAACTTTAAAATAATTATAAATATGTTCAAATATTTAATGGAGAACATGGACACAATAAATATTGAAATGGAAGATATAAAACAAGTGAAATAGAAAACTTTCTTTCTTTTCTTTTTTTCTGAGATGGAGTCTTGCTCTGTCGCCCAGGCTGGAGTGCAGTGGCTTGATCTCGGCTCACTGCAAGCTCCGCCTCCCGGGTTCATGCCATTCTCCTGCCTCAGCCTCCTGAGTAGCTGGGACCACAGGCGCCCGCCACCATGCCCGGCTAATTTTTTGTATTTTTAGTACAGACAGGGTTTCACCCTGTTAGCCAGGACGGCCTTGATCTCCTGACCTCGGGATCCACCTGCCTCGGCCTCCCAAAGTGCTGGGATTACAGGTGTGAGCCACCGCGCCCGGCCATAGAAAACTTTCATAGATAAAAAATTCAATTTTAAACAAAAAGCTCACATTTAATAGGATTAAAACACATTAGACATAGAAGATAAGTTCAGTGGAGCAATATACTAATCTGCATTAGTCTGCTTGGGCAGCCATAACAAAATACCACAAACAGGGTGGCTTAAGCAACAGAAATGTATTTTCTCACAATGTGGAGGAAAAGAGACCAGAGCAGGGTACCATCCATGTTGGTTTCTGGCAGATGTCTTTTCCTGGCTTTTAAATGGCCCTTTTCTTGCCATGTTGTCACATGACCTATTCTCTGCGCACAGAGAAAGCTCTGATATCTCTCTTCTTTTTGTTTTGTTTTTTTTTTTTTTAGATGAAGTCTTGCTCTGTCACCCAGTCTGGAATGCAGTGGCGCCATCTTGGCTCACTGCAACCTCTGCCTCCCAGGTTCAAGCGATTCTCCTGTCTCAGCCTCCCCAGTAGCTGGGACTACAGGCACACGCTACCACACCCGGCTAATTTTTGTATTTTTAGTAGAGACAGGGTTTCACCATATTGGTCAGGCTGGTTTTGAACTCCTGACCTCAGGTGATCCACCTGCCTTGGCCTCCCAAAGTGCTGGGATTACAGGCGTGAGCCCCTGCGCCCAGCCGGTGTCTCTCTTCTTATAAGCACATCACTTCTCTTCAATTAGGGCCTCACCCTTATGACCTCAATTAACCTTAATTTCTTTCCTAACAGTCCTATCTCCAAGAAAAATGTGACTGTTAGTTACATTGGGGTTAGGGTTTCAACATATGATTTTTAGGGGAACACAACTCAGTTTACAACACCATTTAAACTGAAGCACAGAGAGAAAAAAAAAACTTAAAAGGAAAGCACGAAGCTTCAGTGACACCTGGGATTAAATAAGCAGTCTAATGTCAGTGTAATTGAAGTCCCAGAAAAGGTATGGGGAAAGAACAGAAAGAATATTAGAAGAAATAATGGCTGAAAAGTTTTCTAAATATGATAACAAGCTATAAATTTTTAAATCCATGATACTCAATGAATTCTAAGCAAGACACACATCCACTCCCACACCCACCCACCCCCACACACATACCCACACAGCTAAAACATGTTGTAATCAAATCGCTGAAATTCAGTCATCCAGCAATAAAGAGAAAATCCCAAAAGCAGCAAAAAGGGGGAAAAACATATTATGTAAAGACAGTAATAATTTCTGTAAGCAAGATTAACTGATGAATGATAAAATTTTAAAGTTTAAAGAAGGACAGGATTTGGGTTCTATTTCAAAGTATTATCCCCAAAATAAGTACTTATTAATCTAAAGGAAAAAATAGAAACCTTATGGTAGCGAAACATGAATGACCCCACCTTAACAAAGTAATCAAGGTTAACCCCCAATAAGGTGTATCAACTTCATGTATTGCCTACTATGAGTGCTGAGAAGGGCATATTACCTCTGAGGTTTTCTTCCCCATACTGCATAACTTCAGTCCATTCATAAAAGAACAGTATAAAAACCCCAAATGATGGCTATTCTACAAAATCATTGACAAGTACTTTTTAAAGCCTCAAAGTCATGATTAATGAAAGACAAGGAAAGGCTGAGAAACCGTCACAGATTGGATGAGTCTCTAAAGATATAAAACTAAATGCAATGTGGCAGCCTAGATTAGATTCTGGAATGTACAGAGAGCATTAGTGTAAAATTCTGGTGAATCCAAATAACTCTGATGTTTATCTAATAAATAGTATTATACCAAGTTTTAAAAAATTGGATAATTGTACTAAGGATATGTGAGATATTAACCCCAGGAGAGGTTGGGTGAAGGATATATGGGAACTCTGTGTACTATTTCTTGCAGTCATTCTGTACACCTAAAATTATCACAAAATTAAAAGTTAAAAATAAATTTCCCAACAAATCAAAAATAAATTTCCCAAACAAAACATAATAATACCCAGATGGCTTCACTGGTGAATTCCACCAAACATTCAAGAAAGAAATAATACCAATCCTAGACAAAACCTTTTTAGAGGAAAGGGGAATAGTCCCTTACTCATTTTTATGAGTCTAACATTACCCTGATTTAAAAAGCAGACATAGATATTAAAAGAAAAGAAAATCCAAGAATAATATCCCTCAGAAATATAGATGCAAAATGCTAGCAAAACATTAGCAAATAATATCAAGCAATATCCTGTATTTATCTCAGGAATATAATTTTGGTTTAACATCTGAAATTCAGTTATGTAACAAAATGATATTAATAGAATAAAGGAGAAAACAATATGATCATCTCAATAGCTAGAGAAAAAGTATTTAATGACATTAAACAGTAATTTATGATAAAATTTCTCAGTAAACTAAGAATAGAAGGAAGCTTCCTTAACCCAATTTACAATAAAACCTACAATTGATCTCAAACTTAATGCTGAGAATAAATATTTTTTCTCCACATTTAAGGATATCCATTTTCACCAGTTCTACTCAGTAATAACTAGAGATCCTAGACAGTCAATAAAACAAGAGGAAAAAAGGTACTTGGAAAAGAAGAAGTAAAATTATCTTTGTTTGCTGATGACATGATCATATATGTAGAGAATCCCAAGGAAACTATAAAACACTACTAGAACTAGGTGAATTTAGCAAGGCCATTGGCTACAACTTCAATATACCAGTCAATTGTACTTCTATTTATAGCAAGGAACATATGGAAAATAAAATTAACACAATGTAAAGTAGTATCAAAAAACATAAAATAGAGTAAGTTTATTAAAATATATGAAAACTACAAAACACTAATGAGAGAAATTAAGACTTAAATTAGTGACATGGTATGCCATACTCAAGAATCAGAAGACGATATTTTAAAGATGCCATTTATCTCCCAAATTGATCTACAGATACAATGAAATCACCCCCAAAAAATATCAGGAAGCTTTTTTTAGAATCTGACAAATGATTCTAAAATTTACATGTAAACATAAAGGACCTAAAATAGCCAAAACATTTTTGACAAAGAATACAGCTGGATGACTTACAGAACCTGATATCAACATATTCTATAAAATTGCAGTGATATGGCTTGGATCTGTGTACTCACGAAATCTCATGTTGAATTCATGATCCACATTGTTGGAAGTGGGGCCTGGTGGGAGGCGATTGGATCATGGGGGTGGTTTCTCATGAATGTGTTAGCACCATCCTTTTGGTGCTACTCTTGTGAATGAGTGCTCAAGAGATCTGGTTGTTGAAAAGTGTGCAGCACCTATGCCTCCCCACCCTTGGTATTCCTGCCATGTAAGGTGCCTGGTCCGGCTTTGCCTTCCCCTGTAAGTAAAAGCTCCTTCAGGCCTTCCCAGAAGCAGATGCTGCCATGCTTGCTGTGCAGCCTGTGGAACCCTAAGCCAACTAAACCTCTTTTCTTATAAATTACCCAGTCTCAGGCATTTTTTATTTTTTTATTATTATTATTTATTATACTTTAAGTTCTAGGGTACATGTGCACAACATGCAGCTTCGTTACATATGTATACATGTGCCATGTTGGTGTGCTGCACCCATTAACTCGTCATTTACATTAGATATTTCTCCTAATGCTATCCCTCCCCACTCTCCCCACCCCACGACAGGCCCCAGTGTGTGATGTTCCCTACTCTGTGTCCAAGTGTTCTCATTGTTCAATTCCCACCTATGAGTGAAAACATGTGGTGTTTGTTTTCTGTCCTTGTGATAGTTTGCTCAGAATGATAGTTTCCAGCTTCATCCATGTCCCTACAAAGGACATGAACTCATCAATTTTTATGGCTGCATAGTATTCCATGGTGTATATGTGCCACATTTTCTTAATCCAGTCTATCATTGTTGGACATTTGGGTTGGTTCCAAGTCTTTGCTATTGTGAATAGTGCCGCAATAAACATACTTGTGCAAGTGTCTTTATAGTAGCATGATCTATAATCCTTTGGGTATATACCCAGTAATGGGATCGCTGGGTCAAATGGTGTTTCTAGTTCTAGATCCTTGAGGAATCGCCACACTGTCTTCCACAATGGTTGAACTAGTTTACAGTCCCAACAGTGTAAAAGTGTTCCTATTTCTCCATATCGTCTCTGGCACCTGTTGTTTCCTGACTTTTTAATGATCGCCATTCTAACTGGTGTGAGATGGTATCTCATTGTGGTTTTGATTTGCATTTCTTTGATGGCCAGTGATGATGAACATTTTTTCATGTGTCTGTTGGCTGCATAAATGTCTTATTTTGAGAAGTGTGTGTTCATATCTTTTGCCCACTTTTTGATGGGGTTGTTTGATTTTTTTCTTGTAAATTTGTTTAAGTTCTTTGTAGATTCTGGATGTTAGCCCTTTGTCAGATGGGTAGATTGCAAAAATTTTCTCCCATTCTCTAGGTTCAGGCATTTCTTTATAGCAATGAGAGAACAAACTAATGCATGCAGTAATCAAGATAGAGTGCTATTGGTATAGAGGCAGAAATTTAGATTAATGAAACAGTAAAGTCCAACAGAGACCAAAAAATATAGGGTCAGTTGCTTTTTGACCAACGTGCCAAGGTAATCCAATGGGGAAAGGACTGCATTTACAACAAATGGTGCTGGAACCAGGTATCCATTTGAAAAAATATGAACCTTGACTCTTAGCCCATGTCACATAAAAATTAACTGGAAATTGGTCAGAGATCTAAATGTAAAAGCTAAAACTATAAAATATTATGATTTTGGAAATAAAATTTCTTAGGACATAGAATCATGAATCACAAAAGAAAATAGTTGATACATGTTATTTCATCAAAAGTAAAAATTTCTGCTCTTTGGCCAGGCGCGGTGGCTCACGCCTGTAATCCCAGCACTTTGGGAGGCCGAGGTGGGCAGATCATGAGGTCAGGAGATCGAGACCATCCTGGCTAACACAGTTGAAACCCTCTCTCTACTAAAAATACAAAAAAATTAGCCGGGCGTGGTGGCGGGCACCTGTAGTCCCAGCTACTAGGGAGGCTGAGGCAGGAGAATGGCGTGAACTTGGGAGGCAGAGCTTACAGTGAGCCGAGATCGCACCACTGCACTCCAGTTTGAACTAGTTTACAACTAGGGCGACAGAGTGAGACTCCATCTCAAAAAAAAAAAAAAATTAAAAATTTCTGCTCTTCAAAGTAAAATGTTAAGAAAATAAAACCCAGGCCATAGTTGAGAGAAAGTATTTATAATAGATGTATACCTTTTAAAGACTAGTAACAAGAATATATAAAAACCTTTACTTGATGTTCTTGTGATACTGAAAAAAGTAAAGAACTTCATCAGTCAGTCAAACAGTCCAGTGAAAAACAGGAAAGAGATTTGAATAGCTACTACACAAATGAAGATAAACAATGGGCCAATAAGCACATGAAAATATGTCCTACATTATTAGTCAGAAAGGAAATAGATATTAAAATCACAGTGTAATTCCAATAAACACCAACAAGAATGGCTGGAATTAAAAAGACTGACCATACTAAGACTTGGTGAATGTGGAACAACTAAAAATCTCTTAGACTGTCAGTGGGAATGGAAAATATTACAAAGAATTTGGCAGTTTCTTAAAGAGTTGATAACATACTTTTATGGCTCCAATGACTGGAGAAACACCAGGGTCCTTTGTCTTGTGCCTATTGGATAGACGACCCGGACACATGTGGAGTGGTTTTAAGGAGTGGGAAATTTAATAGTCAAGAAAGAAGGGGGTGGGGGGCTCTGAAAGGAGAGAACCCCCCTGGGGATGTGGTGGAGAGCAGTTGGTTATATTGGGAGGCTGGAGGAGGCGGTGTCTGATTTGCATAGGGCCCAGGGGATTGGTTTGACTAGGTGTGTCATTCACATAGCCCAGCAACAAAACTGGCCCTCCCACCCTAGCCTTTTAATATGCAAATACAGGTCGCCATGATGTCCTGTACATGTGGTGTTATCTGGAGGTGGCCATGATACCTGGTACACATGGTGACAAGGAGAAGAGGGTGCAAAATGCCAGGTTGGGTGGACCTAATTTCTAGTCACCAGCATTTGCCTATCAGTGCTTGTAGGCCTGGCTTTTCAAGCTGCTTTTCTGTTAGAAAAGAAATGTTTTGGGAGTTGTTTTTATTAAAAGAAAAAGCCTTACCAAGGACTCCTTGCCCTATCTGTCTAAACGGATTTCTTAATAACTCCTGTAATAATACTAATCATACAACACAGCTATTTTACTCCTAGGCATTTATCCAAAAGGAATGAACACATATATACACAGTGACAAACGTTCATAGCATATTTATTCACAGTAGTCCCAAACTGGACACAACTTAAATGTTCATCAGCAGGTGAATGGATAAACAAATTGTGGTATATCCATGTAAATGGAACAATATTCAGCAATAAAAAGGAACAAATTACTGATGCATGCAGCAACACAGCTAAATCTCAAAAACTGAGTGAAAGAAGAAAGGCTGAGTGAAAGAAGCCAGGTACCAAAGAGTACATACTATGTGAATCCTCTTAACATGGAATTCTAGAGCAGGCATAATGGTCATAGTGACATAAAGCAGACCAGCGGTTGCCTAGGGTGAGGAGTAGGTGATGGGAGGCAGAAGTGACAGCAAAGGCACATTGGGGAATTTTCTGGGGTGATGGAAATGTTTATATGTTAATTGTGGTAGTGGTTACACTGGTGTGTACCTTTGTCACAACTCATCTGTACACTCAAAACAGGTGCATTTAGAGTAAGTTGTACCCTGATAAAATCGATATAAAAATTGAAATAAGTTAAATCTAATTACTTGAATGCATGTGGTTGGCATTCCTATCTTGCATTGGAGAGAGTTGACAGGTCAAATATGGTATGTGTTTCATCAAAATCTTACAACTTTGAATTGCTCCAAAGAATGATATTGGTATTAGCACAACTGAGGCCAAGTCTTCTAATAACAAATTAATTAATGTGTACCATGCATACCATAGGAATACTTCTGAATTCTGGTTGTATATCCCTTCCTTTACCCACAATGTTAGCATCTTTTTCATAGGCTTACCCTCAACAAATCAATGACTAAAACCACAGTTGATTTTTTCAGTTCTTCAATGAAGTCACAGTCTGTACTTTTTATGAGCTATGATACGAATATAATACACATTAATTTCAACGTGTTTTCTGGTTGTTTAAGATGACTTTTTTTTTTTTTTTGAGAGACAAAGTCTCTCTCTGTTGCCCAGGCTGGAGTGCAGTGGCATGATCTCTGCTCATTGCAACTTCTGCCTCCCAAGTTCAAGTGATTCTCCTGCCTCAGCTTCCTGAGTGGCTGGGGTTACAGGCGCCTGCCACCACACCTGGCTAATTTTTGTATTTTCAGTAGAGATGGGGTTTCACCTTGTTGGTCAGGCTGGTCTTGGAACTCCTGACCTTAAGGGATCCGCCCACCTCAGCCTCCCAAAGTGCTGGGATTACAAGCGTGAGCCATCGCGCCGAGCCTAACATGACTTTTATACCTGTTACAAACTGGTTGAGCTGAGCAACAATTATTGAATATTATGATATTAATATTATTTAATATTGTTTAAAAAATTTAATTTTCTCTCTTTATTCACAATGAAATTAAAACCCTCATTCTGAAATCTTCATCCTAGATAATAATTATTTATCTTATTACTTTAAGAGTCAAATTTGCAAGAAAAGAAAGAAGAATCAAATAGATGCAATAAAAAATGAAAAGGGGATATCACCACTGATCCCACAGAAATACAAACTACCAACAGAGAATACTATAAACACCTCTACGCAAATAAACTAGAAAATCTAGAAGAAATGGATAAATTCCTGGACACATACACCCTCCCAAGACTAAACCAGGAAGAAGTTGAATCCCTGAATAGACCAATAACAGGCTCTGAAATTGAGCCAATAATTAATAGCCTACCAACGAAAAAAGTCCAGGACCAGATGGAATCACAGCTGAATTCTACAAGAGGTACAAAGAGGAGCTGGTACCATTCCTTCTGAAACTATTCCAATCAATTGAAAAAGAGGGAATCCTCCCTAACTCATTTTATGAGGCCAGCATCATCCTGATATCAAAGGCTGGCAGAGACACAACAAAAAAAGAGAATTTTAGACCAACATCCCTGATGAATATCGATGCAAAAATCCTCAATAAAATACTGGCAAACCGAATCCAGCAGCACATCAAAAAGCTTATCCACCATGATCAAGTGGGCTTCATCCCTGGGATGCAAGGCTGGTTCAACATATGCAAATTAATAAATGTAATCCATCACATAAACAGAACCAATGACAAAAACCACATGATTATCTCAATAGATGCAGAAAAGGCCTTTGACAAAATTCAACAGCCCTTCATGCTAAAAACTCTCAATAAACTAGGTATTGATGGGAAGTATCTCAACATAATAAGAGCTATTTATGACAAACCCACAGCCAACATCATACTGAATGGGCAAAAACTGGAAGCATTCCCTTTGAAAACTGTCACAAGACAGGAATGCCCTTTCTCACCACTCCTATTCAACATAGTGTTGGAAGTTCTGGCCAGGGCAATCAGGCAGGAGAAAGAAATAAAGGGTATTCAATTAGGAAAAGAGGAAGTCAAATTGTCCCTGTTTGCAGATGACATGACTGTATTTTTAGAAAACCCCATCGTCTCAGCCCAAAATCTCCTTAAGCTGATAAGCAACTTCAGCAAAGTCTCAGGATACAAAATCAATGTGCAAAAATCACAAGCATTCCTATACACCAATAACAGACAAACAGAAAGCCAAATCATGAGTGAATTCCCATTCACAATTGCTTCAAAGAGAATAAAATACCTAGGAATCCAACTTACAAGGGAAGCGAAGGATCTCTTCGAGAGAACTACAAACCACTGCTCAATGAAATAAAAGAGGACATAAACAAATGGAAGACCATTCCATGCTCATGGATAGGAAGAATCAATATCGTGAAAATGGCCATACTGCCCAAGGTAATTTATAGATTCAATGCCATCCCCATCATGCTACCAATGACTTTCTTCCCAGAATTGGAAAAAGCTATTTTAAAGTTCATATGAAACCAAAAAAAGCCCGCATTGCCAAGACAATCCTAAGCCAAAAGAACAAAGCTGGAGGCATCATGCTACCTGACTTCAAACTATACTACAAGGCTATAGTAACCAAAACAACATGGTACTGGTACCAAAACAGAGATATAGACCAATGGAACAGAACATAATATCAGAAATAATATCATACATCTACAACCATCCGATCTTTGACAAACCTGACAAAAACAAGAAATGGGGAAAGGATTCCCTATTTAATAAATGGTGCTGGGAAAACTGGCTAGCCATATGTAGAAAGCTGAAACTGGATTCCTTCCTTACACCTTATACAAAAATTAATTCAAGATGGATTAAAGACTTAAATGTTAGACCTAAAACCATAAAAACCCTAGAAGAAAACCTAGGCCATGCCATTCAGGACATAGGCATGGGCAAGGACTTCATGACTAAAACATCAAAAGCAATGGCAACAAAAGCCAAAATTGACAAATGGGATCTAATTAAACTAAAGAGCTTCTGCACAGCAAAAGAAACTACCATCAGAATGAACAGGCAACCTACAGAATGGGAGAAAATGTTTACAATCTACCCATCTGACAAAGGGCTAATATCCAGAATCTACAAAAAACTTAAACAAATTTACAAAAAAACCATTCAAACAACCCCATCAACAAGTGGGCAAAGGATATGAACAGACATTTCTCAAAAGAAGACATTTATGCAGCCAACAGACACATGAAAAAATGCTTAGCATCATTGGCCATCAGAGAAATGCAAATCAAAACCACAGTGAGATACCATCTCACACCAGTTAGAATGGCGATCATTAAAAAGTCAGGAAACAACAGGTGCTGGAGAGGATATGGAAAAATAGGAACACTTTTACACTGTTGGTGGGACTGTAAACTAGTTCAGCCATCGTGGAAGACAGTGTGGCAATTCCTCAAGGATCTAGAAATAGAAACACCATTTGCCCTAGTCATCCCATTACTGGGTATATACCCAAAGAATTATAAATCATGCTGCTATAAAGACACATGCACAGGTATGTTTATTGTGGCACTATTCACAATAGCAAAGACTTGGAACCAACCCAAATGTCCACCAATAATAGACTGGATTAAGAAAATGTGGCACATGTACACCATGGAATACTATGCAGCCATAAAAAATGATGAGTTCATGTCCTTTGTAGGGACATGGATGAAGCTGGAAACCATCATTCTGAGCAAACTATCACAAGGACAGAAAACCAAACACCATGTGTTCTCACTCATAGGTGGGAATTGAACAATGAGAACACTTGGGCACAGGGTGGGGAACATCACACACCAGGGCCTGTTGTGGGGTGGGCAGAGTGGGGAGGGATAGGATTAGAAGATATACCTAATGTAAATGACGAGTTAATGGGTGCAGCACACCAACATGGCACATGTATACATATGTAACAAAGCTGCATGTTGTGCACATGTACCCTAGAACTTAAAGCATAATTAAAAAAAAGTCAAATTTGCAATTTCTGCTCTTACAGCACCAAATGTCAAAATCATTTTAAGTAAACCTAGATATTTTCCACTGTGTTCTATAAATATTATGCTTTTAGTACCAAGTAAAGTATCATTCATTATGCTTGGCTAAATATTGGACACATAACATTATCTTTAAATCCCCATGCCAATACCCAGTATCACTTGTGTTTTTAGATACTATAGGAAGCTTTGCTATTTTTTTAACTCTTAATTTTATTTCATTTTTATTATTATTTTTTATTTTATTTTATTTTATTTTTTTTGTAGAGACAGAAATGCCCAGGCTGGTCTTGAAATCCTAAGCTCAAGAGATCCTCCTGCCTCAGCTTCCCAAAGTGCTGGTGTTACAGATGTGAGCCACTGTGCTCAGCCTTTTAACTTTAATTTTAGTTATAGGAATTGCAAGAGTTACTTTTTTTGTTTCTTTTTGTATTCCATGCAAGTGAAGTCTGCCTATGTTCAGTTTCCAATATATATATTTTTATTTCAGAAGACTACCTCTTTAAGTGTTTCTATTTCATTGCTCTTTTTAGTCTTTTTTCTTTTCTTTATATTTCACTCTATATTTTCTATTTCTATCATGATCTCAATTTATGCTCACTGTCAATGATTTATTTTAAAGGATTA